>NC_000006.12:48544848-48847878 GCF_000001405.40 Homo sapiens
GATGACAGATAACCATAACCAGATATGACAATAATGAAAAAGTTTGAAATATTGTGAGAGTTACCAAAATGTAACACAGAGACTCAAAGTGAGCACCAGCTGTTGGAAAAATGGTGCTGAGAGACTTACTCTACGCAGGGTTGCCACAAATCATCAATTTTTTAAAAACACAATCTCTGTGAAATGCAATAAAACAAAGTGCAATAAAACAGGGTATGCATGTATGCCAGATGGTGATAAGTATTATGGAGTAAAATAAACAGTGTCAGAGGATAGAGAGTAATGGAGGAGAATGTCTTACTCTATTAAATTCAGTGATGAGGAAGGGCCTCTCCGATAGGAAAGGATGGTGCCCTTCTAGCATAGATCTAGTTGGTGAGAAGGACAATGCACGCAGATATCTGAGAGGAGAGAGTTCCATTTAGAGAGCAGAATACACAACAACTCAGAAGTTTGCATTTGCGATGCCTAGTAATTGGAATATAAAAATGATAACAGATCACTAAGAAGGAGGAAGAAATCAATTCCATCACATGCTTCGTAACATTTCTTCACCCCTCAATTTTCCCAGTCATCCTCAATTTTCACTGTTGGATAACCTTTTTAAAAAGATAATAGCTTCTGAATGGCTTCTATGGAGTTAAATCTCATAAAGTATAATATATTAAGCTACTCATTACTAATTAAACATTTTATCTTTTATCAAATATTTATTAAGGCCATCTTAAAACCAAAAAGTTGTTTTGAAAATTTTAGGTTTTATTTCAGTGACAGACCTGAAATGCAAATATTGATTTTCAGCTATTTGTCAAATAAAAGTACTGTATTCAGCTGGACATGGCACAAGCCTATGAGTGGTCAAGGAAGCTTATATTCCTGAAAGAAATAGCCATAATGAATAAATACTAGTACTTCAGGCCTGTTACCTGTTAACACTCTCCAAATAAATAATAACTCAGGTCTTCAATTCTAATGAAAGACCAACACTCTTAAAGAAGAGAAATTCAGGCTCTATTGCCAAACTTAAAATGAATCATTGCTTTATTTTCACCTGAAGAAATACCAGAATTCTATGATTTTGGAGTATCAGCTTATTAAGAACTTTTTTAAACATTGCACCTGGGAAAGTGTCAGATTGCTTCTTGCAACGTGTTCAACAGACGGTGAGGAACTGAAGCCATCAGTCCAACAACTCATGAAGAACTGAATTCTACCAAGAGCCACTTAGGCTTGAAAGTAGATCTCTTCCTTTTTAAGTTTAAAGATTACTACAGCCCAGATGGCAGCTTGATTATAGCCTGTGGGAAACTCTGAAGTAGAGGCTCCAGTTAATTGTACCCAGATTACTGACCAATATTAACTGTGAGATAATAAACATGTTTTGTTTAACCTGCTAAAATCCATAGTTATATATTATGCAGCAATAGATAACAAATACAAATCATCCACCCCTACAGAGGAATTAGTCTCAACCTGACATCACCAAATGGAGTGAAGCTAGTATTTGTTTTAACAAAGATTTCCAAATAGATCATCACTTTAGATATCTGGATACTACAATTTCTCACTAAATCAAATATTTAAAGCCAAAGTGAAAAACGTGACAGATTGAATACATCTTTGATCAGGGATATTTCAGTGTTGTTGCCTCCAACACAGAGGACTTAATACATGATGTTGCCATTTTGTATATCAACATTGTATTTGCTCTTTTTTAACTTAGAAACCAGGCTGAGGAAGAAAAGAGTCAAATATATGGCATTTTATACATTCTAAGCATCTACAAGTTCCTACTGATAGGGTTTGGAGAACTGTTGAATAAATTTTACAATAAGCACACAGATATGTAATTGAGGTCTATTTTATTTTCATTCTGTTCTATACCATAATGGCTCAAGGCAGATAGCAGAAGACAAACTTTGGCCAACTAGTAAATTACTGGTTGACTCTAAAAATATTAGGCTCTCCTGAGCCTGAATCCTTGCTATTGGTTTCTGCTTCGTTTGCTATGTCAGCAAGGGTAAAAACAGAAAGCAAGAAAACGAATTCTCCCATGCATGTCAAAGGATTGTTTATTCAACAGAACTGGAGGCTATCAAGGTAGTCTGATGTTGAAGTGACAGAAAAAGTGACTTCCTATGTGACACAAATCAGAGAAGGAGTCAGAGAAGTCCCTTGCCTATCTAGCACTTGCTTTGTTCATCTTTTTATTATGAGAGGTTATTTTTAAATCTTGAATCCTTTTTAAACATCCCCTATTAAAATGGATATGTACTTGGGAGGAGTCACTGTAATTTTTTATCAATAAAAATTGAAGTATTAAAAAAACAGGAATGGTATTAGATAGTCTTTTGGGACCAACCATTAGAAGCAGCAGGCACATAAATATCTACTGTAGTTCATGGCCAAGGGAAAGGGACTGTTTCTATGGTTTAGATGCGGTTTGTCTCCCACCAAAACTCATGTTGAAATTTAATTCCCAATGTGATAGTGTTGGGAGGTGGAATCTATGGTATTTGGATTATGGGGGAATCATCCTCATGAATAGACTAATGTCAGCTTGAGAAAGTCAGTGAGTTTTTGCTCTCTTGAAAATGGACTAGTTCTCTCAAGAGAAAAAAACCTAGACTCTCCTGCGTCTCTCTTTGCTGGTTTTCCTTTCTGGTTTCTGCACTGAGTTGAAGCAGAATGAAAGCCCTTGCCAGAAGCCTAGCAGACGCCAGTGCCATTCTCTAGGACTTCCCAGCCACTGGAATCATAAGCTAAATAAACTTTTTTAAAAAACAATTACCCAGTCCCAGTTATTCTGTTATAGCAACACAAAATGGACTAAGACAGATGTCATCAACAATAAAAGCACAAAAGTGTAATGAGATCTGGTAACTTAAAATTCTGCTGATATGAATTTTGCAGCTACATCCCATCTTAAGCCTACATTCACATTAAATTCACATTTGAATACCCATGAATTATCCTTTATGGTTGGCTCATTGCTGCAAATCCATTTGCTTCTCAAAAGTAGAACTGGAGAGTTCCTTAGAGAAATGTGACAAATGGAAAACACTGAAACATCGATTGTTGTATCCAGAGTCAGATCCTGTAGACTCAGTAAAATTTCTATAAGAAAAAAGGCACATTGACCCACTTCCAGGTTCTCCATTCTCAAATTTATGGGGAGCAAAAAACTTTGTTGAGTACTGATGCTTATGGCTGGTAAGTGACTTGAGGCTATAAAATACAAAATGCTAAGTTTGAATGTGTTCCAATTAACTACGAAGCAAGTTCATACCATCATTTTCCAACCTCTCAGAGTATCTATAACATTAGTTGGATGAATCATGATTTCTATAATCCAAATGGTTATTACCAACTGGTACTCTATTAAAAATTTCCACTGAGTAAGATAACCTATTGCATGTGACTATATCTATAAATGGACTCTTAAGGATCTGATTTTGACTGATTTGCTGAGTTAAATGGCACAATATTTTCACTTTTCAGAATCATTAGTCAAGTCATAATTTATTTGGGGCATAGGAAATAAAGTCTAGATCAGGATTCAGAAATTCTGTCTTTGCCTTGAGGCTTGTCTACCATGTATATAGCCAGCCTTCTAGGAACTTCAATCCATTCAGGAAGTCATTACCTTCTTTATGAAAGGAGCTTTAGTAAAAAATAATTATGTATCTTTTTATGAGAATTTTTTTAAAGTAAAGCTATCTTAATGAAAACACTATACTGTGTAGTTAGGAGAGATAGTATTTGATTTAAAATATGTCAAATTTATTTTTTTGTTTGAGGCTCTCTGCTAACTTGGTGTCGGGGGCAGGTAGGAAATAATCTCCCCTGAGAATCTGTAGCCATAAGCTGGCACATAAGTTTCTGGAGTGCATTAATGTTACCCATGAAATACAAAATGATGTCAAATAGAGAATTTAATTTGGTCTGCATTCATGCTGTCCTCAAAATCCGAAATAGGTCTTAAATGTAGGGTTTATCTTAACACTATCTCAGATTACTTTTGATTGTTGGTAACTAGGAGAGACAATACAAGAAAAAAAAAGCTTAAAAACATAACCAGGAATGAGAGTCTAAAGAATCAATGTGTAACAATAAACATTAATAAAACCTATAGAATTAACCAGCTTAAAAAGTCTGCTTTTAAAGAGGGGTACATATCAGTCACCAGACATAGAACCAAAATAAACCTGTAGTGCAATGGTAAAAGGACACTTTTTTCAATAAATGTTGCTGGAACAATCAACTATCCATCTAGAAAAAATATATACCTGGATTCTTTCCAGATATTATAACAAAACACAACTTCAGGTGTTTAGTAGATCTAAATGTAAAAGGCAGAACGATAAAACTTCAACCAAGGAGAATATATAAATTGTATTAAAATTGTAAAAGACTTTGAAGCAAGATACAAAAGCTTCGTATTTTATTTTAAAAGTCTTGTATTGATAATGAAAAGAGATTGACAAATTACATTATAATTTAAAACTTTTATTCTCAAAAGATGCTATTATAAGAGTGAAGAGGCATGCTGGGGTAGAAGGTGTCCACAACACATATATCCAGCAAAGGACTTGTATACGAACTATATGAAGAATTCCTATAAACAAAAAAGGAAAATACAGTACTAAACCATTTTTAAAATGAGCTAAAAATTCTAGCAGGTATTTTAAAGTAGAGTATATCCAAATAGTTTACTAGTATGGAAAGATGTTCAATGTTTTTTGTCATTAAGGAAATGCAAATTAAATCTACAATGAGATTCTATTATAGATTCATTATGATAGCTAAGATTATAAAGACTTATCAAACCAGTGTGTAAGGGTGTGGAAGGTATTAAAATCTCATACACTGTGAGTGGACATGTGAACTTGTACTTCTGAAAAGTGTTTGGCAGTACCTTCTAAAGCTGAATATGCACATACAACATGATCCAGAAATTTATCCAACATAAATTTGTACATGTTGCTATCAAATATCACAAATATCAAATGTCATGTACAGAAATGTTTGCAGGAGCATTATTTGTAATAATAATTAAAAATAAGAAAAACTGGAAAGAACCCAAATGTTCTTTCATAGTAAAATTGATAAATTAATTGTGGTACATTATCCAATGAACTAAATTAAATAATGAGAAATAGTGAGTTACTACTACATACAAAAACATAGATAGAACTCAAAAATGCAATATATGACAGGCTAAGCTAAGCCCATTGAGTACATACAATATGATTTCAGTCATACAACTTACAAAAAAGGACAAAGAATAATTTCAAAATTAAATATAATATAATAGTTACCCTTTGAGGGCCGTTTCTGGCTTAACTTTAGGGAAGTTTCCGTTCTATTTCTTGATCAGGGTGTTGATTTTAAGGGATTATTCAATCTGTGACAATGTGTTGGGCTATGAACTTAGATCTATATGTTTTGGGAGTGCAAAATATGTTTAAGTAAAAGTTTACTCAAAATTATAATACGTACATAAAAATCCCTTCTAATCACTTCATTCACATCCATCTAATTAATTCTTCCAAATCTGCCAGGTTTCCTTTTAGCTATTTCAACTTAAATAGCTAGATGATCGATGGCCCAATGTACAACTGTTTGGGCAGCCTTGCTTAGAGCAGGACATGAACTGAACAGCATGATATCTGATGTCCTTAACCTCTGCTAACTCTAAGGGTTCAAAGTTTCTTACTCTGATTATCACATTGTTATAATTTCCTTCACCTTACAACCCCTAAATGCATACCTTACCAATGGGTTTTTTACAAGCATTTTCATTTGGAAAATAAATTTCTGCACATATCTTCACAAACCACTAAAAGAATATTAATTTAATCTCCATTTATAAACAAGAAGGCTGAGATTCAGCATAATCAAATAGCCTCTTTAAGACCATTCAGCTGACACATGGTAGATTATTTTTCGCTTACTCATGGAAATTTTGTAAAAATTCTTAACTCACATCCTCATATCCCCATCACGTTTCCTTAGTTGGACAGAAAATTCTTCAAAGCGGAGACCATATTTTTTTCCTTAGTGTCCCTCAACAATGTGTTACATAGCTGTCAGCATGCAGTAGGTAATTAATAAATGATTCTTGAGAAATGGCAACATTCTTCAGTCTTGTCAGTATTTGGGCATCTAAAAGCACATCATTCTGAGCAAAGACCTGAATGACTAAATCATCACCTCAATTCGATAAGATATCTCATGAGCATTGTCTTCTTTGTGACATAAGCCTTTATTTAACTAATTAAAAAAGCCAGCCTATGAAGAAAGAATAGATGATATGTTATCAGGCATTAGGATAAGTAGACTAATCTTTCTTTGCATTAATGTCACTAATTACTCTCATAGGAAAAGTGCCAACATGTGTTTTTTAGTGACTAACCATGATTTTAAAATATCTGCACTTTATAAAGTGCTTGCACGAAACATCCAAGACAATTATCATGTAAATGGGCTCAAAGGAAAATCAGATACAGCAATTCACCAAGAATCTGTGTCCTTATCTAATCAGATTAATCGTCTTTCAATATGATGCTGTAAAAGACGCAAACTGAGCAAGGGCAGAGCTGGTCAGCATTTAAATGAGATTTTTCCAAAGGCAAATTCAAGGACCCAAAATACTCTGAGAAGGAACGCCAGTATTTTCATTACTGAATCATTTTCCTCTTGAGCATAAGGAGACTTCCAAGTGCCCTGAAAGTTATTGTACTTAAAGATGCTTTTTTAAAGGTAAAATGTAAAAGGAACAATGCAGACATGTTGGTCATTAAATTTCATGTGGTGTTTTTTCTGAAGGGTATGAAGTTAAAGGCTCATTATCATTAACATAAATATAGTTCATCTTACCCTAAGACCAAGCAATTACAGATGTCATTTTAGAAAATTCATAACACTCTTTTATAATTCTAAGACATGATCAAAGTAAATATCCGTTCAGACTATTCCAGATCCTTGTCTTCAAAGTATCACAATTCACTCACACTTCAACCATCTGGGAGTACATAATGGACCTCTATTATTACAAGCAGTTTAGTTTTTTTCTTGAATTACAGCAACTGGAAAATTTAAAATATTCTCCTAATATACAGATTATTCTAGAATTGGCATAGCTTCTGATTCCTCCTTTCACCATCTCACCCCTTAGAGAAAAATGGTTACACTTTGCTAGAAGCACTTCCAAGTAATAATAGAACTTAAGAGAATCTTTCAGGCAAAGCTTTGGTAACTAGTTCAGGTATGCTTATCTAGATTTCTCCTATAATAGATGGCAATGTAGAAAAGAACATTACGACAACTAGAAAGAAATACACACACACACACACAGACACACACACACCCACACTAGCACTTTCTATGTAGTTTTCTTTGAATTAGTAATCATAAAATTAAAAAATCACATTTTTACCTATAGCTCTCAATCCTAATTTTCCACATAACCCTTGCTTTTGTTTTAAAAAAGGCCAATATGGTATGAATGGCTTTAGTTTTTTTCCTAAAATTTTATTCTGACAAATTTGTACCAGGTAAGTACTTCTTCCTTCCTTCCCTCCCTTCCTCCCTTCTTTGCTTTCTTCCTTGTTTCCCTCCTTCATCCCTTTATCTCTCCCTCTCTTTCTCTTACACCCTTCTAAAAAGTATTCATTATTTGTGATCTAGAGAGACATCAATGAATTATAAGGAGCAAGACCCTTCCAGCTATTACCCTCTGATAAAAGCTCTTTGAGAGAAAATCAGAAATATGATAGAAACTTATATGGATGGAATTGAAGAGAGTCCCAGAAGAGGAGAGCTTTTAGCAGAGTATGAACTGATGTTCAAAATAAAACAGAATGCTTTCCTCATCTGGGCTAAATGAAAAGGGTTCTAGGAGCATCCTGTTTCTACGCTTAGGAAGATCTGTGTCTCCCTTTCTATATAAATAATGGCTGATCTGCACAATCTCAGTTCTTCTGTATTCTGTCAGTGGAACTAGGGGCCTATGTGTTTATAGCTCATAGAGATTCAAAGTCAGGAATTGACAAGGGTAACAAAATAGCAGGGTAAAAACAGAGGGAATAACAGACAATCTGCAATTACTAACTGGCAAAAAAAAAAAAAATGGTATGAGCATTCTGTGGATCAATTCTATGCTACAGAAAGTAACTGGACTTATATTGCTTTGACGTGCTCAAGAAGGCAGCCTGCCTGGGCTATAAACCCCACCTGTGAAAGGCTGATGGGGTGAATCAAAGTTCAAATGCTGAGGAAGATTATAGAAGATTAACCAAAGAGTACGTCATTGGTGAATAATATAGTACATGTGTTCATGATAAGGTACTAAAGAACCAAGAAGTGAATCCCTCAAAAACACAGCCAGCATGTGGAAGCCTTAGAAAAAGAACTTTAAGGAACAAGATCAAACTTCATCACTTTTCATCTGATTCCCTCTCCTTTTTTTCTGCTCTATCACTCCCTCCAATAAAATTGGAATTTCACAGATTTCTTTCCTAACTTTTAAAGAACTAACAACAGGAGGGTTGTGGAGAAATCAAAGGGCAAGGACAAATGGAATAAAAGAATACATACATCCCACAAGTGTCCTCTGCATATTTCAAGGCATAAATTGGTAGGATTGAAGTGTGGAATTGGATGTAAAATTGAAGTTTTGATGTAAATTTGAGATTATAATGAGACCCAAAGTAATTGTATTAGTCAGAGTTATCTAAAGGGACAGGACTAATAGGATATATGTAGATGTGAAGGGAGCTTATTAGGAGAATTGACTCATATGATCACAAGGTGAAGTCCGCAATAGGCTGTCTGCAAGTTGAGGAGCAGGAAGCCAGTGGTGGATCAGTCCAAATCCCAAAACCTCAAAAGTAGGGAAGCCAATAGTGCAGCTTTCAGTTTGTGGTGAAAGGCCTGAGAGCCCCTGGCAAACCATTGGTGTAAGTCCAAGAGTCCAAAAGGTGAAGAACTTGGAGTCTGATATTTAAGTGCAGGAAGCATCCACCATGGGGGAAAGACAAAGGCTGGAAGACTCAGCAAGTCAAGTCCTTAAACTGTTCTTTTGCCTTCTTTATTCCAGCCATGCTGGCAGCTTATTAGAGGTTGTCCACCCAGACTGAGGGTGGGTCTGCCTCTCCCAGTACACTGACTCAAATGTTAATCTCTTTTGGCAACACCCTCACAGACACACCCAGGAACAATACTTTGCATCCTTCTATCCAACCAAATTGACACTCAATAGTAACAATCACAGTAATCTAACCAGAAAGCTATGAAATATGCTTAAGATATTTTCCAGTGGTAGGGAAAGAGATTCCATGGTTCATTTTCAAGCAGTGAAAAGAAAGAAAAAGTTGGTTCCTATAGTAGTTCATGAATTTTAATACCCTCAAGAATCCAATTACACAGTACAATCTACTGATTAAAACATGAGATTAATCAATCTCAGTATACTTTCCTAGAGTCCCAAATTTAAGAAGAGTTATATGGATACATATATGGAACATGTAGAATTTAACTGGATTCTGAAATTCAAAGAATAAACAGATTAGGCACCTTTGATTATAGAATAGAAATATAATGAATTGGCCAGACATGGTGGTTCATGCCTGTAATCCCAGCACTTTGAGATGCCAAGGAGGGTGGATCTCCTGAGGTCAGGAGTTTGAGACCAGCCTGGCCAACATGGTGAAAACCTGTCTCTACTAAAAAAGAAATACAAACATTAGCCAGGCATGGTGGCAGGTGCCTAAAATCCCAGTTACTTGGGAAGCTGAGGCAGTAGAATTGCTTGAAACCAGGAGGCAGAGGTTGCAGTGATCTGAGATCATGCCATTGTGCTCCAGCCTGGACAACAGAGCGAGACTCTGTCTCAAAAAAAAAAAAAAAAAAGAAATATAATGAATTTATTCATGTTAGGGTGCATATATTGTAATACTGAAATTGATCAAGGGAATCCCATTGAAGATTGCATCTGCAGTAGCATCACAGTTTCACCCTGGGACATTTAGCTATAGACAAACTTTGGTATATAAAAGAAAAAAAGTTTTTAGTATAGCTACACAACAAAGAGAAAAATTACTGGATTTAAAAATTGAAATAT
Organism: Homo sapiens; assembly: GCF_000001405.40. Lineage (NCBI taxonomy): Eukaryota > Metazoa > Chordata > Mammalia > Primates > Hominidae > Homo > Homo sapiens. The sequence goes on from NC_000006.12 coordinate 48,554,975, forward strand.
TTTTTGCTATTGCATTGTATGAGTTCCTTATATATTTTGGATATTAACTTATCGATGTATGGTTTGCCAATATTTTCTCCCATTCCTTCTCATTTGGTTGATAGTTTCCTTTACTATGCACAAACTTTTTAGTTTTATGTAGTCTCTCTTGTTTATTTTTATTTCTATTGCCTCTGGTTTTGGTATCAGATCCAAAATTTCATTGACAAAGCCAGTTTCAAAGAACTTGTTCCTTATGCTTTATTCTAAGTGTTTTACAGTGTCCATTCTTACATTTAAGTCTTTAATTAACTTCAAGTTAAGTTTTGTGTGAGGTGCAAGATAAAGGTCCAGTTTCATTCTTTTGTATGTTGATACCCAGTTTTTCCTGCACCATTTTATTTTTGGCACTCTTGTCAAACATTAGTTTACTATTGATTTGTGGACATATTTGTGGACTCTCTATTCTGCTCCATTTGTTTATGTGTCTGTTTTCATGCCAGTACTGTTTTGATTACTATTACTTTGTAATATAGTTTGAAATCAGGAAGTATGATGTTTCCTGCTTTGTTCTTTTGCTCAAGATTGTTTTGGCTATTTTTTAGTTACATATGAATTTTCTATTTCTGTGAAAAATGGCATTAAAATTTTGCTAGGAGTAGCATTAAATATGTAGATTGCTTTGGGTAGTATAGACATTGTAGCAACATTAATCCTTCTAATGAACATGGAATATCTTTCCATTTATTGTGTCTTGTTAAATTTCTTTCATCAATGTCTTTTAGTTTTCAGTGTACAGATCTTTCACACCCTCAGTTACATTTATGCTTAAGTATTTTATCCTTTTTGATGTTATTGTGGATGAGATTGTTTTAATTTTTTCATAGTTTATTGTTAATGTTAATTGAAATTGATTTAAAAATTTTAGCCTCTAAGTCAGGAAGTGGGAAGTGGTAAAAACCCAACACCAGAGAAATACTTTCTTTAGAAATAATAGGTCCAGATCAGGTGATATTTTCTCGTGTTAGATACCTGGTTAGAATTCTACCTCTAACTAACTGTGTGACTGTGAGCAAGTTATTAAATCTCCCTGTGTTCAGTTCCCCCTTCCTGATGTGGTATGTGATGATAGTATCAACTTCAACTACCAACTCTCATTGCTGGACAGGGTAAATGAATGTAATAAAAGTTCTTATTATGGTGATTGCAACAAGAAAGCACTCAGTAAATGATAGCTATTGTTATTCCTATTATATCTTTTGACTTATAGGATGATTTTGACCTGTGTCTTTGTATTTTGCTGCATTTATGGTTGAATAAGAATCCATTTATTATTATTACCCTATATTCTCCCCCCTTCCTCCCTGACACATACACATTAGAGATAGACAGATAAATTAGATAGATAGATAGATAGATACATACATACATATATGATAGATAGATAGATAGATGATCATTCTCTTTGATATAAAAGTAGGATAATTTAATACTACTCTAGTATCAAGTATAGCTTCAGGCATCTAGTCAAATTGAATTTGGAAGTCTTAGAGCATTTACAGTGTCACAGCACAGGCAATTTTGAGAACTGAGTGTTACAGGTTTGACTTTCATTATAGGCTCATTTTTCAGGTAAGTTACAGAAAAGTCACATTTTGTAGCTGGAAAGAGCATTAAGGCTTACTGGTGAGTTTCAAATCTCTTAAGACATATGGTAAGAAAATTATATGAACTCTCACCAAGTGTTTGAAATACATATTTGTTTACAAATTACTGTTTATTGTTCAGCTCTAAGTAACAAAATTCAGTCTCTAGCAGTAAAAATTCAGGTACTAAATTTTAAATGTCATGTACAAAATCAGATGAAACCCCGTATCTATAAATAAATAGATATACAGACAGATAAATACAAGCTTTGTCTAAAGTGATCTTCCTATATTTCCCATCAGTTTAAAAATGGTTGAACATTTAAGTATATGATACACAGTTATATTGGTGGAATAGTATCTGTAATTAATTATTGTAAAATATTATACATGTATACAAAAGTAATAGCAATTTATAAAAATATTATATATTTTCAATATTATTTTAGCTAAAATTCAATATTGTTTTAATTAAATTTAAACTTACATTGTATTTTTGCAGTTTTGAAACATCATTTTATTAGTTTTTTCTTACTTTTAAATGAAGTTTTTATTTTAGAATTTATTTAGTTTTCCAGAGAAGTGGGATAATAGAGGTACCATATATTCCACACTGAGTATCCCCTGTGAACAAATGAGCCCATATTGATACATTATTATTAACTAAAGTCCATACTTTATTCACATTCCCTTAGTTTTTATGAATGTCCTTTTTCTGTGCCAGAATCTTATTCAAGAAATCACATTAGATATAATTGTTCAGTCTCCTTGAGCTCCTTGTAGCTGTGATAGTTTCTCAAATTTCCTTTGATTTTGATGACTTTGACACCTTGGAGGAGCACTACTCAGATATTTTGGAGAATGTCCCTCAGTTGGGATTCATCTGTTTTTTTTAATCTCATGCATACACTGTGCCTATGGGTTTTGGAAAGATATACACAGGAGTAAAGTGCCATTTTCATTACATTCTATCAACTACATACTATCAACATCATTTATGCTTGTTGATGTTGGCCTTGATCACCTTGTTGAGTTAAAGTTTTTCAAATTCCTCCACTGTCATATTACTCTTTTTTTCCCTTTCTACATGCAACTCTTTTGGAAGGAATTTGCTGTGTGATCCCACAATAAGGAGAGAGAAGTTATGTTCCACCTCCTTAAGGACAAGTAACTACACAATTTATTTGGAATCTTTCTCCATGAGATCTATTAATATTTTAGATTAAACTGTAGCCATAACTCTCAAGCAAATCTGTGAAACATTGTGTCTATAGTGCAGACTGGTTGTGGTGCTTGGTTTTGGCCATATTCTGCCCTGTAGCCAAGGGCTAACACACCCCAATCCTTTCTGTCCATTCTTCAGCAGCTTTCATGATGGTTTCTATGGGGAAGTGGAGAGATGGGCTCTCCTGAACATGATTACACACAGGGTGATGTAAGTCATTCTCTCAACATCAGGCTATCCTCTAAATAGATCTGCAGCAAGTAGTTTACTCTGATTCATTAACTTCATATCCTGAGATTGTCTCAAAATCATCTCCTTTAATTCACCTAGAGACTCCTAACTAGGTCAATTAAGTTTTCACTTAAGTCTAACCTAAGTCTCATGTGCTGTAATTCAAGCTATTTTTTCTTTTGCTTTCATGTTCAGATTAAATTTCTTGAAAATTACTGGGTGTATCAGTCAGAGTTCTCCAGAAAAACATAACCAATAGGATGTGTGTGTGTGTGAGTGTGTGTGTGTATACAGAGAGCGATTTATTTTAATAAGGAATTGCCTCACATGATTGTGGAGGTTGGCAAATCCCAGGATCTGCAGGTAAGTTCGAAAGCTGGACTCCCAAGAGAGCTGATGATGCAGTTCCAGTTGAGCCCAAAGATCTGAGAAACAGCAGGGCCTATATAGTTCCAGGCTCAAGGCCAGCAGGCTTGAGACCCAAGAATAGCTAATGTTTCAGCTCAAGTTCAAAAGCTGGGGAAAGCCAATATCCCAGTTCAAAGGCAACCAAGCAGAAGCAATCCTCCCTCACTGAGGAGACAGTCAGCCTTTTTGTCCTGTTTAGGCCTTCCAATGATTGAATGAGGCCCACCCACATTCAGGAGGGCAAATCTACCAATTTAAATGGTAATCTAATTCAAAACCACCCTCACTGAAACACTCAGAATAATGTTTGAGCTATGATAATATCTGGGAACCCATGGCTCAGTCAAGTTGACAAACAAAATTAGTCATCATAGTAGGGTAGAGTATTAAAATATTAAGATCCTCAGAGAGAACATATGTACTTTACAAATATATTACAACCTTAGTTATCTTAGATTTCAACATTGGCTTTTGAGAAACGGGTGATTTTCTTTCACAGCAAAGAGCTGCAATATAGGTGATAGAATTTATTTAAAAAAAGAAAAATATAGATTATTATTTTTATACCAAACCTGGAATCATGGATACTACTCCTCAATGACAAAAATAAGATAAATTGACCAAAAACAAAACAAAATAAGCAAAGGGTAAGAAAGGGAAAGAAAAATATTATGGTGTTGATAATAAGAAAACAAAGACATCTAAAATGAGTCACAAATAAAATAATTTTCCACATTTTATTTATTAATCAGGTCAATAAATACATGCCAAGTACTCTCCTCAATGCTTGAGAGACAGCACTAAACAAAGTACAAGAAAAATCCCTCTTGAAGCATAAATTTTTACAAGGAGAGATAAGCAATAAATAATAAAATTTACTGTTATAATCATTAATATCATTGTTAATTATTATGTAATAATCAACAATACATGTATTGATTATCAATTATATAATTATCAATACATAATATAATAATATAATTGTATATGATATAATAATACGTATTACTAACAATATATCTAGTTTATTGTTAACAATGAATATTATTAATAATATTGTTAATAATTTATTAATATTATTGATAATAGTGAATAATATTATTCTAACTAGAATATTATATTTAGAAAATATTACTAACATACACAACTTTCAATATTATCTTAACTAAATGTAAAATTATGTTGTATTTTTGCAGTTTTAAAATACCATTTTATCAGGTTGTTTCTTACTTTTTAATGTTTTTATTTTAGAATATATTTAAATTTCCAGAAAAGTAGTATAATAGAGTTCCCATATACTCCATACTCAGTATCCCCTGTGAACTGGTGCACCAATAGTCACTTTCTAACTAGTCATCTTCTAACTAGAAGGTGACTTGAGGGCCCCCCACTTCCTCCTGCTTTCTTTGTCCTGAGAAACACGGAGTGCCTTGACAGCTCTGTGAACCAGCCAGCTGCATGGTTTCCATGCAGGCTTAAACTCAAGCTAGGCCCTTGAACTCAAGCTAGGCCCAGGCACTAATTAAGGTGTTTAGGTTGTTACTGAAAACAGTGAGAGATTATTCCTCTTGCTAAATGCATAGAAACTAGCCCTAGCCCTGAACCTCCTTAGACCCTCATATTAATAAACTCCATAAGCCAAATCTCCTTCCCAACTGGTGGAAGACATATCCAGGTCAAACATCTGTTCTGTTGCTGTCTGTCACCAGAAAGCTTCAGCCCTCTGTATATAAGTTCCTCTCCTAAATAGTTAGGATTGATCACTCTGGCATTTACTGCTTCTGTCTTTGGAATTGCAACCAGTGCCCACTCAGGAGAGTTTGAAGTACCCCCTGCAGAAACTCCCCTGCTGCCACTTTTGTGGTCACTCCAGCCACAGGGGATAAATTGGATGGAATAGTGACAAGTACCTGGAAAAAAATAAAAGTAGGGCAGGGGAAAAAGTACCATGGACATTGGTGTTGAGGAGAACAATTTTACATATGAGGTGAAATTCAGTCTCCTTGAGAAGGTGGTATTTAGGTAAAGTCTCAAAGGCAGTGAAAGAGGTAGCCATGTGCATGTATTGGAAGATTATCTAGGCACAGGGCAGTCAGAGCAAAGCAGAGAACATGACTCACATGTTTGAGGAAATGCCAGAGCGGCTGGAGTGGAATGAAGAATGACAGAGTTGTAGGAAGAGGCCAGAGAGGTAGTGATGGTGTTAGATGTGCAGGAGACAAGATCGTATGGATCAATCTGTCCAATAATGGCTTTGCAGGCCATTATTAGGATTGTCCCTTCAATCAAATGTCATTCACACTCAAACTTCGGTGTTTAGTTGACAGTTTGGAGTTTTGCTTACCTGAGCTGGTGTTTCGGAACAAGTGATAAAGCAGTTATTACTCTATGTTTGATTTGAGGCTAAACATCATAATGTATCCTGTGGATACAATTGTCATACAAAAACGTATATATGAAAAAAAAAATCACCATCTATTGGAGAAGGAAGAAAGAATAATGGGATTCTAGAGTTCACAGTGAAGACATGGAAAGCAGTAAGTTGCTCACCCCACATCCTTGTACATAACTGCTACCCATGACTGCACTTTTGCAATGTGGAAAACAAAGTTAGATGCAGAAATCCAATCTGAGTTTTAAGGATACATTTCCACTTCTTAAATAACTTTTCTGTAACTTTATCTTTAACATTTAGGGTTTCTTTTGTGAAGAATCACATAGATGCTTAGGAAAAACATCTATGACAATATGCTGATAATCAAACTGTAAATCAAAAGTAGCTACCATATAATCATATATTTTCTTTTTCTTTTTTTTTTTTTTATTTTTACTTTTGAGATGGAATCTCTCTCTGTCCCCCAGGCTACAGTTCAGTGGCGCAACCTTGGCTCACTGCAACCGCTGCCTCCTGGGTTCAAGCAATTCCCCTGCCTCAGCCTGCCAAGTAGCTGGGACCACAGGCATGCAACACCATACCCCACTAATTTTTGTATTTTTAGTAGAGACGGGGTTTTGTCATGTTGGCCAGGCTGGTCTTGAACTCCTGACCTCAGGTGATCTGTTCGCCTTGGCCTCCCAAAGTGCTAGAATTACAGGCGTGAGCCACCACACCCTGCCATAATCATATGTTTTCTAAATAATAATATAATATCACCAGGTATTTTCCAATATATAAAGTACTTTATATTCACATCTTCATACAAACCTTAATTAACAAATATTATTATTTATGGTTGAGAAAAAGTGAAGTGAAAAACAACTATCATTATGCCCCTTTTACAATTATACGTTATATATTTTTTACCTCCATGATGAGTATTAATCTTTATCTTTCTTGTGCAAGAGTGTTATACTTTGTTGAAATACATTTCAAAAGGAACATAAAAAAGAGTGTATGTCGCTTACTATATGTAGTTTTTCCACATACAATATATTCATTTTTTTCTTAAAGTGATATTAGAAAATAAGTATTATAATTTCTAGTTTATACATGATAAGAATGATTTGTGTAAGCTCTATTCTTTGATAAATATTACCAAGCTAGTAAGAGTCAGAGTCAAACTATGACCCAAGATTCTCTTACTCTAAAGCTAATTCAGAACATATTTAAAGCGGTTCTGCATTTTAGAGAATAAAGAGAGATATCAGAGCCAACAAGGACTCTGATAATTTATTTAATATCTTTGGATTTTTGTGAGTCCTCTCTCCCAGATGTAAAGTGAGCTTTTGTTCTATAATCAATCTATAATTCTGCATTTAGAATTATATTTCATGAAAATACAAAGTTCACTATAAAGCATATCTTTTTCTCAAAATGTATAAGAATAAAACAATCTTTACCTCTTGTCCTATGTAACCAGTTCTACCATACAATTTATAGGAGACAGTTTTAGCATAAGGAATGAAGGCTTGACTATTACTGGGACATAAGGCTTAATCCTTTGTAAAATTAAAAAAAAATTCCATTGACGTGTTCTACCAAAAATTCTACTCAGTACTTTCCAGTGTCATCATTACCACTTGTGAGTATTTTGTACTCATCACTCAATCTTTTATTTGACTTAGCATCTAAGAGAGCACTCAAGGGTTGGGCTAAAAGTAGACACAAAGTAGGCTACTTACTGCAGAGATGAAAAAAGTATGAATTTGGGCCAAATTGGATGCACTAACGGGAATACTTTTCACTCTCTGAAAACCAATACTTTTTTTTTTAACAAATGAATACTTACAGTAGCTTTGCTGATGGTAAGGAACATCAATTTTGAACCTCCAATAAATAAAATGTTAATTCAAAAAATGGATTCCATTTTCCTTATTAGTAAACCTATATTACAAAAAAAGTTTTATTTTTATTTTTATTATTTGAATTTCACCAATAAAAATCTTAGGGAAATCTGTTCTCTCATTTGTTATATTACTACCCATACAATATTTTCAAAACTATTATCTGACCCCTCACAGAAAAAAGTTTCCTAACTGATGGGGTACTGAATTTTGATCCTCACTTGAAAACTGGGGATTCTAAAAGAAGTGTTTATTATCATGAAGTGACATCAAGAGTCCATTGAGTTTAAAAATGGTCCTATGTTGAATCGTAGTACAAATAACACAAACTTTTATCAGCATTTAAAAGGCAAGAAATAAGAAATGTTCAGATTACAAATATTTACAATTTTTTTTGTACTTGATTATGTCATTGCAAAAATGCTTCTCTGGCTGGACGATGTGGCTCACACCTGTAATCCCAGGTTTTGGGAGGAGTGAGAGGACTGAGATGATTGCTTGAAGCCAGAAGTTTGAGACCAGCCTGGGGACCAAAACAAGACTCCATCTCTAAAAAAACAATAATAATAATTAATAAATAAAAACAAATACTTTTTCCCTAGTTTGATTTGCATCAACATTAAAAGAAAACTCCAGGCAGGTAAACCATTCTTATTAATAAATTAAGAATCCCTGGCACAGTTCATTATGATAGTGATCATTCAGCTGTACAGAATTGGCACTCAGAGCGTAACATAGTTTAAATGTTTGTCCTCTCCAAATCTCATGTTAAAATGTGACCAGCACATTTGAAGGTGGGCCTAATGGAAGGTGTTTGTGTCACAAGGGCAGATTCCTCATAAATGGTTTTGTGCTGACTTCATGTTAATGAGTGAGTTCTCAGTGCATGGATTCATGTGAGATCTAGTTATTTAAAAGGGCCTGGCATCTTCTCCCTCTCACTTTTGTTCTCTCTCTAGACATGTGATATGCTGACTTCCCCTTAGACTTTTGTCATGAGTAAAATCTTCCAAGCCTTCACTGAAAGCAGATGCTGGCACTATGCTTCATGTCCAGCCTGAAAAACCATGAGCCAAATAAACCTATTTTCTTTATAATTTTTTTTTCTTTATATACTCACATTCTCAGGTATTCCTTTATAGCAACTCAAACAGACTGACACAGAAAATTGGTTCAGAGAGTGGGGTGTTGCTATAAAAATACATGAAAATGTGGAAGCAGCTTTAGAACTGGGTAAGAGAGATTTAAAAATTTTAGAGGGCTCAACAAAAAATACAAAAAGACAAGAAAAAGTTTGGAACTTCTTAGAGAAGTTGTTAAATGGTTGGGACCAAAGTACTAACAAAAATATAGTTAGTGAAGGCATGGCTGACAAATTCTCAGGTGGAAATAAAAAATGTATTGGAAACTGGAGCAAAGGTCACCCTTGTTACAGCCTAGCAAAGGCTGCATTGTGTCCATGTCCTGAGGGTTTGTAGAAGGCATAACTTGTGATTAGTGACTTAGGGTATCTGGCAGAAGAAATTTCTAAGCAACACAGCATTCAAGATGTGGCAAGGCTGCTTCTAACAACCTAAGTCACATATGGGAACAAATAAATGACATAGAATTAAAACATATTTAAAAGAGAAGCAGAGCATAAAAGCTTGAAAAATTTACAGCCTGGCTGTGTGCAAAAAAAAAAAAAAAAGCACTTTCAGGAAAAAAAATCCAAGTGGGCTCTAAAGCATCCACTTGCTAGAGAGATTAGCATGACTAAAAGGGAGCTAAGGGCTAATATTCAAGGCACTGGGAAAAAGGCCTCAAAGGCATTTCAAAAATCTCTATGACAGGCCCCACTTCATAGCTCCAGAGGTCGAGAAAGAAAGAATGGTTTCAGGGGCCAAGCCCAAGGTCCTGCTGCCCTGTGTAGCCTTGGGACACTGCTTTCCGCATCCTGTCTGCTCCAGCTCCAGCCTTGGCTCAAAGGTCCCCACATATAGCTTGGGCTGCTGCTCAGAAGGGCACAAGCTGTAGGCTTTGGCAGCTTACATATCATGTTAATTCTGAAGGCGTGCAATATATGAGAGTAAAAGAGTCGTGGCAACTTCCCCCTAGATTTCAAAGAAAGTACTGGCAGGCTTGGGTGCCTAGGCAGAAGTCTGCCACAAGGGTAAAACCCACACAGAGAGACCCTACTAGGGCAGTGCTGAAGGGAAATAAAGGGTTTGAACCCCCATACAGAGTTCCCATCAGGGCCCTACCTTGTGGAACTGTGGGAATGAGGCTACCACCCTCTAGACCCAAGAAAGATAGAGCCATCCCCAGCTCATACATTGAGCCTGGAAAAGCTACAGGCACTCAACTCCAACCTGTGAAAGCAGCCATGGGCTCTTCATCCTGCAAAGCCACAGGAGCAAAGCGGCTCAAGACCTTGGGATCCCACCGCTTGCATCAGTGTGCTCATGTTACGAGGAAAAGAGTCAAAGAATATTATTTTCTTGCCTGCCCTGATGGGTCTCAGACTTGCGTGAGGCATATTGCCTGTTCTTTTAGCCAGTTTATCCCTTTTAAGATAGAAATGTTTACCCAACACCTGTACCACCATTGTATCTTAGAAGTAAGTTATTTTAAATTTAACAGGTTCATAGGTTAAAACAAAACAAAAGCCAACAAACAGAAACAAAATGTGTCTTAAGTCTCAAATAAGACCAGACTTTGGACTTTTAATTAAGTTAATGGTAAAACAACTTATGACTTTTGGAGACTATTGAAAAGGGCTAATTTTACTTTATAATATAAGAAGGACATAGATTTAGGGGGCCAGGAGTAGAATGATGTAGTTTAAATATTTGTCCTCTCCAAATCTCATCTTAAAATATGACCTCCAAAGTTGGAGGTTTGTCTAGTGGAAGGTATTGGGGTCATGAGGGCAGGTCCCTCTTAAATGGCTTGGTGCTGTTCTCATGTTAATAAGTGATTCTCACTTCAAGAGTTCACATAGGATCTTATTGTTTAAAAGAGTCTAGAACCTCCTGCCTCTCTCTTAGTCTCTCTGTCTCTCCCTCTTGCCATGTGACATGCCAACTCCCTCTTTGCCTTCCACCATGAGCAAAAGCTCCCTGAGGCCTTCACCAAAAGCAGACACCAGCACTATGCTTCCCATATAGCCTGAAAACTGTGAGCCAAATAAACCTCTTTTCTTCATAAATTACTCAGTCTCTGGTATTCCTTTATAGCAACACAAACAGACTAACACAGATCACCTGCTCTATGTGGACAATTTAGTTAAAATCAGTTCTCTTATAGTAGATAGTGCTCAAACCTGACCACTTGTGCTCACTAGACATCATGCCTGGAGCAGAGCTATTATGTGGTGGGAAGTCACAGTCAGGAAGAAACTGTGAGAACAAACTTCCTGAGCTCCTAGGCTGTGGCCTGAAACTATTAAACAAAGAACAACTTGTCTATCAATGCTGCCATTTTGTTCTATACTAGAACATTTTCACTAAAGGGCTCTAAGAGCAAGAGTTAAAGAAAAATAATTATATAGAAACAACATTGAGGCCTTCTGGGTGAGTAGCTCTTTGCTTTTTAATTTTCCTAAGTACTAAAAGGCAATGATGTAGAAATTGCTAATTAGTAGCAATTCTCAATAGAAAAATATTATAAAAGGAGACTTTCTAGTTCAGGCACAGTGTCTCACGCCTGTAATCCCAGCACTTTGGGAGGCCGAGGCGGGCAGATCACCTGAGGTCAGGAGTTCAAGACTAGCCCGGCTAACATGGCAAAACTCCATCTCTACTAAAAATACAAAAACTAGCCGGTCGTGGTGGCAGGCACCTGTAACCACAGCTACTTGGGAGGCTGAGGTAGGAGAATCACTTGAACCTGAAAGATGGTGGTTGCAGTGAGCTGAGATGACGCCATTGCACTTAAAAAATAAAAAATAAAAATAAAAGACTTTCTAACAACAGATCCCTTAATAGAGCTGGACTAGTGTAATCTTTCAATTTGAAAGATATTCAGGCTAATCAGATAATATGTTACCCTGAAAAGACGTATTTCAAAGTCCTGTATTTGTTTTATAGAGTAGGCTGCATTTTTCTTAAAGGGCAGAAACTACCTAGAGTAAAATTATCACCATTGCTGGCATCCACATATCACTTTCCAGCTGACAAGATACTCTATACTCATTTTCTCATCTGAGTCACAGCATCTCCCAGTCAAGGCAGGTAGGATCCCTATTTTACAATTGAATTAACAGAGTCTGTGATTTTCTTAAAGTTACATTGTTTATAGAAGAATAAGCTCAAAAGCAGATCTCAAGTATGTAGGCTCTTTGTCTTACTTTCTTTCTAAACTATTATTCTAACAATCCTCTGATTCTCAGGAGGGAACATTCCAACTCCATTTGACTCAGAGTCATTCATTTCTCTCTCACACCTCTTCTTTGTTCATGTCTTAGCTAAAACACTTTACAGAGAGCCACAAACATGAATATCTTGCCAAAGATAGTAATCTAGTATAATATCTCTTCTGTGGTCAGAATTGGTCATATATGCCAGGATAATAGAGAGCCATGAACATGTTAATCCTTGACTATGGAATGTGTGGTATGTTTAAGTTTTTGTTTGTTTCTTTCTTTTTACTCTTTTCTTTTTGTTTCACAACTGGCATGCCTGTGCATACACAATTTGGGGACAATAACATACTGTGCTAGGAGAATAATCTGTTTCAGAATCACGTGTTGATTATGTGAAATGTACAGTTTCTTGAACAATATCTCAGAACTGTGGAAAAAAAATCTTTCCATGTGGTATTCAGAAATGTGGATTTTAAACAAATTCTCCAAGAGATTCTTATGGAATTTGCAGTTAAAGAATATTGGGAGAGTTAATCTGGCACAAATATTGAATATTCATACCCATTTTTGCTGGGCATAACAAGAATGCAAGACACAGATAATTCTTTTCTCAGCCATTTCTGATGGTTGTACTTGCAGTGAGCATCCTTAAGGGATGAGATATCTTCATACATACAAAGAGCAGGTTCCTATGGAAGCAGTGATACTTAAAGTTTACAGTTTTTTGCAATGCAAACTCACTGCATGCATAGTTTCCAGAATGCCCCCTCTGCATTACTCTGCAGGACTTGATGGCATACTTGCTGTGCTTTAAGTGATAAAATCTTTTCTCTCTGATCCTAGAGTCTGTTGTCATCTATCAGCATCCATGAAGCTGTAATTATCTAATTTCTTAGCTTGTAAGAAGCGTAAAATTCCAATTTCTGATAGAAACCCCTGCATCAGTCAGATGTAAGTGAGTAATGTAGCCAAACTTCATGCCTAACAGAACAGGTAACTAAAATTCAGACAAAGCCGGGTGCAGTGGCTCACACCAGTAATCCCAGCACTTTGGAAGGCCGACGTGGGTGGATCACCTGAGGTCAGGAGTTCGAGATCAGCCTCAACATGGAGAAACCCCGTCTCTACTAAAAATATAAAATTAGCTGGGCGTAGTGGTGCATGCCTGCAATCCCAGCTACTTGGAGGCTGAGGCAGGAGAATTACTTGAACCTGGGAGGAGGGGGTTGTGGTGAGCCGAGATCGCGCCATTGCACTCCAGTCTGGGCAACAAGAGTGAAACTCTGTCTCAAAAATAAATAAATAAATAAATACAATTCAGACAAAATCTTCAAAGGTTTTGTATCAGAAACATGCAGAAACCTATCTGCAGGAGGCATTTGGCTTTTTGCTCCAACCCCCTACTACAGTCTCATTTTATAATATTCAAAGATAGAAAGCATAACTGTATTTAACCAGCTATTCTCTATTCCTGCTAGAAACCCAGAGGCCGAAAAAAAGCCAAAAGTTTTATTGAAACACATGCACGCACACACACACACACACACACACACGCAGAGAGAGATCGTAAATATTACAATAACAACTGAAAAGCAAGTAAATCTTAGAGATGGATAAATGAACTTTGATGATACATTTTTGGAAATAACCGACTGATCAGCAGGAAGAAAAGAGGACTCAGATAGTCTCATTGTCCACAGTGATAAACTAGTACCAGATCACCAAGGAGCACATGAATCTTTGTCCCTGTTATTAGGGCAAGAGAATTGAAAGCAGACCTTCAAAGCAGGCTCAAGTGTAAAGGGAAAGTGAAATTCCAGTCCGAAATGAGGGGCAGGAGCTAAGGTAGGAAAATCATGATATCATGGGAATTGGGAATGAAAATAAATTTAAGGAGGAAAACAATACAGGCAGCAGTGCCCAGGAAGTACTAGCCTTTAACTGATGGGTCAGACAGGAACTGTGCAGTGGAGCTCCTCCCAGCTCTTGCTGGGCGAATTGTTTCTTCAGCTTATCTGATGATAGGGCTGAGGTTAGAGTCATGATCTGCCTCTGTCTAAAGATGGTGAAAGGACAAAGTTTTCAGAGTCACCAGGAGCTGCAGGAGGTAGAGAAAAAGTCACTAATGGAAGGACCAAAGTAAGAGGTGAAAACCCTAATTGAATATTACTATCTCCTAAATGTTTACGATTTTTCTGCAAACATTCGTTTCAGTTTCCAGATAGAACTGAACCAGCAAAGACAGGAGTTCATTAGAATGTGTGGAGAACTGACCGGATGAGTTTTCTTTGCCGCCTCAATTTATATCCTATACCAGCCAATCACTGAGTCTACTACTAGAATTTTGGGACAGACAGATGTTTCCTTTTTATTTTAGTCACATATTAGAAAGTGAAGGCCTATGACAAATCTCATATGCCATTATCTTTTTTTTTTTCTTTTTTTGAGACGGAGTCTCGCTCTGCCGCCCAGGCAGGAGTGCAGTGACGCCATCTCAGCTCACTGCAAGCTCCGCCTCCCGGATTCACGCCTTTCTCCTGCGCAGCCTTCATTATCATTGACACTGAAAAATAAAAAGTTTAACTTTTAAGAGCCCTTCACCTTATTTTTAAAGAAAAAGCAACATAGGATATTCTCACTTTTTTCTTTTTAAAATATTTTCTACTTGCTCAAAAAGGGTACCACATAAGCACAAGTTAGAATAACATCTTTTATTTACGTTAAAGATAGATGGCAAACTTTGTTTTTGAACTGACTGTTTTCCTTATTATGCACCTCCAGAATAACGTGTTCCAGCAGTTTTATTTTTAAATGTCAGTTTTTCGTATACTTCACCTAACTAGAACCCTGATGCAGACAGAAAATGTAGAGAGAGCCACTAGGGAGGATCATCAGTCATGAAGATTAGAATTAAAGCAAACAACAGATAATTTTCTCCACTTGTTTTCTACTAGCAAACAGACCTCGTTTTTAGTGGAGCAAGAAAATAAGATTAGGATATGCCAGTCATGGGACTATTGACACACCATGAAAAGGTACGGGAATTTTAATTACTCAAGCACATGTCAAGTCTGAGATTTCAAAAAAGGCCTTTAAATAATTAAAGCAGTGGTAAAACTGCCAAAAAGTTTTATATGGGCTAAATTTAAAATATTTTATCACTGTTAAGAAAATCCTTCTCCTTATATTGTAAGGTAAGCATGGGTGTACTGGAAACACCACACTCAGAACCATTTACTCTGAGGAAAAAAGGATGAACTATGATCACTTGTGAGGTTGCTGAAAGAAACTAGACAATCTGAATTTAATTACAACGCATCTCTGTGCAATTGACTATTTAATATGTGCAATGGACAGTAGAAGAGGAATTGAGAATATGATCTCTGTCCTTGTGTGACCTTTAACTTCAGAAGACATTGATGATAAACAGGAAATCATCATTATTTTAAGGTAAGGTAATCTATATCCCTTGCTGAGTAAGCTATACTGGTAATAGCTTACAGAAGACACTGACTATTTTAAGTTGTGAAAGTTAGAGGCTGCTACTTAATGTTAGAGGGGCTGGGGCAGAACTCTGAGGTATTTTGAATATGTAGGAAGAAAATATTGGGAAACAGTATATGCAAAGGCATATTGATGGGAATAAGTGTGCAGACACAACGAACAACCAGACCAAATAATAACTGTCATATAAGGTTGTATTATGGCATGGCAGGAAATGAGGCTGACTAGAAATGAGAAACATGAAAATGAGAGGAGGTTTCTTTAATGCAGTCAAGACATGTGGCTCTAAGTTTGAAGGCAGGAAGTAGAGATATAGGAAGCATACTATAGAAATATAGTATAGACCTCTGAATTAACAGAAGACTCAAAAGAGAATCCAGAGTCCTGATGTATAAGAAGAGACACAGAAAAACAGAACCGCCAATATATATTTCAAGAGAGTGGATTCAATCTATCGATATATTAGTTAACTATATTAGTTAACTATTATCTGGGGAAAGGAGTGGTGGTGAAGGATCAAAAAACAAACACCGAGGTATCTAAAGGCAGTAACTGTAGAAAGCACCTAATACACTGTAGCCAGAAAAATAAATGGAAGGCACTGAGTTACCAGAAGCTTGGAAAAGTCAGGTAAGGTGGACCCAGGCCACAAGGATAAGGCATTGTTATCCAGTTTCTACAATTCTCTGTGAGCGAGTATGATGGGGTTGGTGCTAGAAGTGGTAAAAGAAGCTGAAGTCTAGTCCAACTAATGGTATTGTGACAAAGAGACACTTGGGTAATGATGCTAGGGACAGCAAGAAAGCAGGAAACGGGTCTCTTCTCTCCTCTTGCCACCCACTGTCCCACTAAAGCCCTATATTCTTAGAACCTAACAAAAAGCTAGCTGACAAAAAATAAAATAAAAATAAAATAAAATAAAAAGTCTGTATAATGTTGTTTGCCCGCCCTAGCCCCAGCTTCAGAGAACAGTGCGTGAAATGTTGACCTCGGCTGAAAAACTATGTATGGATAAATACCAGTCATGCCCAACTTCTTTCTTTACTTCCTAACTACTAGATGTCTGATGATAAACTGTGAAAAGCATTAGAAGTGAAATGCATTATCTTCCATTGATATTCATTGCAACTCCGGGAAATCAAAGGAAACGGGCTGTTGCTTCGTGGCCTGCCAGAAGCTTCTGATGTGTGTTCAAGGGTTATTTCAGAACAGCAAAACCAAGAAAACCAATTTTTAAAAAATCCCTAACTTACAGAGTTTTTCCTCATTTTTCTCCTGTAAACAATATTACCTTCCTCAGTTGGGGAGTATTTCCTTACCTCTCTGACCTCCTTTGCTGTCCAGAAATATGAGTTATTAAAGGGATTGTATGGATTCCTGAATAAGCAGCATGGGTTGTTGACCACATTAGTAGTATGAGCCTCAGAGGAATGAAGTGAAAATGGTAGCACTGAGCAATCATAGCCAAGAAGAAATAGCTTATAATTCTCTACATATTTCTTTTTGTTATTTTAGTACAAACACATTAGGTAAATGAAGTATTAATATATAAGACCATTAAACAAACCCTTGTATCTTGCATTAGTCTCTAGAGGAAATATATTATCCCTTCCCTTCCCTTCTCCTTTCTTCCTTCCTTCTTTCCTTCCTTCCTTCCTTCTTCATTCCTTCCTTCTTGTCTTTCTGCCTTACTTTAGCAACTATATTTAAAGTCCTATTCCAGAGAACAGGAAAATACAAAAGAATGAGACAACATTGATTTTACAATATTATTTGGTTAAAAGGCTAATAATCAGTAAATGGAGAAAAAGTGTTGTTCACACCAATTCCTTCAGTGACATAGACTATGAGACATATGTCTAGGTGGGAGACATGAGATATGGAGGTAATTAGTGAGAACTAAGGCCAAAAGATTAACAGAATACTGGTTATGTTAAATTAGATTTTATCCTGAAAACCACAGGTAGTCATTGAAGGATCTGGAGACAAAGAGAGATATAATGAGATTTGCCTTAAGCTCTATTTGAGGGAAGAATGGACCAGATGGAGATAGAGAAGAAGGAAATATGTCAGCACAAAGACCTTGTGTTCAAATAGGGCTAGATTCCCCATTTTGCCTCAGATAGGGCTGTATATATGCAGTCAGCATCTAGGACATGTATTTACTTCATGATATATGTGGTGAGGAAAGGTGCATGGAAGGATAAAGTTTCTTACAAGTATATGGGTGATACATGAAGAGGAAAAGAATTGATAAGGGCAATAATGCATTTCTTTCCCATTTTGTTTTTCAGAGCATTGTGATACTAAGCCCCATTCTAGTAAGAACCAAAGGCAGGGCGATATTGTTTTAAAAGCTCAGAGGTGTCGATACTTGGCTTTTACCGGAAAAAGTATTCTGGCAGAGTGGCATTTTCTAAGAGGAGAAATAGCAGAATACAGTTGTAGCCCTTGATGCCTGGGCACAGAGTAGGCTTGCAATAGACATGTTAGATTCCCTCCAGAGTCTTGGCAAAAGAGCAACAGCAGTCAACAAAGGAGGATTTCTTTGAGAGTGTATATAAGATGTCCTCTGGTGGCTCATGCCTGTAATCCCAGCACTTTGGGAGGCCGAGGCGGGCAGATCATGAGGTCAGGAGATCGAGACCATCCTGGCTAACACAGTGAAACCCCGTCTCTACTAAAAATACAAAAAAATTAGCTGGGCATGGTGGTGGGCACCTGTAGTCACAGCTACTTGGGAGGCTGAGGCAGGAGAATGGCATGAACCCGGGAGGTGGAGCTTGCAGTGAGCCGAGATTGCGCCACTGCACTCCAGCCTGGGTGACAGAGCAAGACTCAATCTCAAAAAAGATATTACCCCAAATACATAGAGAATAAGAGTTTGCATTTTAAACAAACAAACATCTCAGATGAGTTTTATGAGGATTAAAATTAGAGAACCACATTTCCATGCATGGTTGACATATTTACTCTTCTTTTGCAAGTACCTTGCCTATTTGTATTACAATAGCAGTGACATTATCTAGGTTTTTTCTGCTGCTTCATGCCTTAACTTTTCTGACTTTTAATCATCTGTTTTCTACTGGAAAGACAATTATATCTGACTTACAGCAAGCATGTCACAGACTATTTTAAATATCTTTACCTCAATTATGAAACTCCAGCTATGATACCTTTTTTTGTGTGTGTGTGTGTGTGTTGGATTTTCACTCTTGTTGCCGAGGCTGGAGTGCAATGGTGCCATCTCGGCTCACTGCAACCTCCACCTCCTGAGTTCAAGCGATTCTCCTGCCTCAGCCTCCTGAGTAGCTGGGATTACAGGTATGCATCACCACACCTGGCTGATTTTTGTATTTTTAGTAGAGACTGGGTTTCTCCATGTTGGTCAGGCTGGTCTCGAACTCCCGACCTCAGGTGATCTGCCCGCCTCGGTCTCCCAAAGTGCTGGGATTACAGGCATGAGCCACTGCGCCTGGCCTTTTCTACTTATTTCTTTAGGCCAGTGACATATGATAATTTACTAAGGGAGCATAGATGGTCTATGGAACTACAGCTAGACATATAATCACATCCCTATTGTTACAAGCATAGTTTTTCACTTAAATAATGTGTCAGGTTTTGCCATTTAATCTCATTTCATCTATTTTAGGTAACAAGTATATGAACTTGATACCTTTACTCTTGGGAAACCCATAGTGGAAAAGTCAGCCCACGTAGCCTAGAGAGAAGGACATAGGTAATAAAGCCCACATATATAGGGCACAGAGCACAGGACATATACTTAAAACAATAGTGAGGTCTTTAGCAGTGAGACAAGATGTAAAGAGAGGAAGCTCATACTCTAGGGTTCTTCTGTATCCTCCAATCAACTGAGAAGGCAAAATTTTACACAGTTGCAAGAAGAGAGCACTGGTAAACAGTGCCAAAAGTTACAGCGAGTGGAAGATAAGGTCTGAAAAATGTCCATTTATTCAGCAAATAGGAAGTTAGTATTGCCTTGGAATGAAACAGTTTTCATGCAATGGAAAAAATATAAGAGAGAAGGCAGAGATTTAAGAATTTGTGTGAAGGTAGAAACAGCAATTATTTTATTATGTAATGAAGATTTAGACCTGAATTAATAATAATAATAATAATAGATACCAATTCCTGACACTTGTGCCATATTTTCTTTAATCTTTACCACAATCCTGGGACAATTGTACTGTTATTATCTCTATTTTCAAATGAGAGGCAGGAGAATTACAGTTAAGTATCTTGCACATGATCACAAAGCAATAGTGAAACCCCATCTCTAAAAATACAAAAAAATTAGCTGGGCGTGGTGGCACACGCCTGTAGTCCCAGCTACTCAGGAGGCTGAGGCAGGAGAATGGCATGAACCCAAGAGGTGGAGGTTGCAGTGAGCAGAGATCGCGCCACTGCACTCCAGCCTCAGTGACAAAGCGAGACTCCGTCTCAAAAAAAAAAAAAAAAAAAGAATTTAATACAGGTGTATCTGAGGTTTTAACTACTATGTCATTGATATCATAAAAATCCAAAGTTCTTGATTTTGACCCACATTAGAAGTTTATTTGCAATTTTCACTTCTCTACTTTGAAAAAAGTTGATTATAATTTTTCTCTCCCTGACAGAGTAGCAATAAAACAAATAGAAAGATTGCCTAAGTCTTTTACATCGAGGTACTTTAATAAATAAAAGCACCATAATAAAAGTGCTGTATAAACTAGAAAAAGAAACACATATTTTCACTCCAAACCCAAATTTTTCTGACAAGAACTTTAATATGAGTGGTGCTTATACATTAATATTCCATCATTGTGTGTCCTTTCCTTGTTAAAAGCTGCTGCAAGTCAGGCATTTATAATTATTTCATGAAATATTAATCCTCCATATCAGAAATGCTCTAGAAAAAAAAACACTTCCTACAAGGAAAAAAGTTTCAGAAGTTAAAGGAAGGCCTCGAGTGGAAAAAATTATTAAATTTTTATTTTTAACTAAATACTTTTGTAATTGACAAAGAAAAAATTGCATATAATCTTGTGTATAACATGATTTTTTGAAATATATACACATTGTGGAATGGCTAAATCAAGTTATTTAACATATGCGTTACCTCACAGTTATTTTTGTGTGGTGAGAACACTTATCTACTTTATTAGTGATCATAAGTATACAATATATTATCACTAACTATGGTCCCCATGTTTTATAATAGATCTCTTAAAATTATTCCTCCTATATAATTTATATTAAGAAATTGGGAAACTCCATTGGTGCCTCTCCACGATGTGAAAGTTTCAGTCTGTCTGAAAGCACTGATCTTCTGAAAACAGTGTTTCTTATTCTTTCCAAAATAGAAGTCAGTAGGAAAGTAGAACCAGCTTGGCATTAGGAAAGTCAGAGATAAGAACAGCATGTCCTTTGTATTATCCTTTATAATAAACCAGTAAATGTAAAAGAAAAAAAAAGCATGTTTTCTTCAAAACACCTATTCTTAATGACTAAGTATGGACACACAAATCATAAATATTATCCATTAAGAGAAAACAGAAGAAAAATCTTCCAAACTAAAGAGAAACTAATGGTTACCTAAAGTGAAAGGGAACACAGACAATGGGTATGGGACACCTTCAAAACAAACCCAGACAAGCAAAAACAGCAAACAAAACATTGTGATTTCACACCAAATTGTGAATATAAATTTGAATCTCGAAAATACTATTCATGGAAGTATGAGATCATCACATAATTGTTTAATCAAACTATCTGATCATCTCAAGGATCCAGAGGAGAAAAGTTAGATTTCCAAAATATCTCCAAAACACTATCTCATACACAAGTTAGTTGTTTATTATGTTTATCAGTGAAGGAATAAATAAACAAATAAACACAATCTCCCAACAATACCTTAAGACTTGATCCTTTTGTAACATTGTTCCATTTTGTTTCAAAACACCTGAAAATGAAAGAACTTTGATTTTTCCGTGTTCATAGTAAAATATCAAATATAAGAGGAGAAACTTAAGGTGGCCTCTAATATTTAGAGTATATTGTTTGAAATTCACCAACCCTTCTTAATTGCATCTGATATTAACGGCTTATTTGAAAAAAAAATTAGAATGTAATTTATTATCTTAGAATAAGCTTTTAAATATTATATATTATTCTTTTTAAAGATTATTTTATCAATGGGTACTGATTCATCTTTAAACTAATGTAGTTAATTCCTCTGAAAAACCTTAAGGCTCTAATATTCTAAATCATAAAAGAAGGCAAAGAAACAATAGCCTTTAAAAACACTTTGATTAATAGAATCTACCTTTTATTAAATCTTAAGCTATATTAGATTGCTAGCATTGCTGAGTGCTGGTAAAAACATCTTTAGATCAATGTGAATTTGTTTAACTTCAGCGTGTTTAACTTCATAAAGTCACTAATTGTGAGATGAATCACATCTGTGCTTTCTTTGATTATGTTTATCTTGTTATTCAGCAATATTGAAATAATTTATTTTTGTCATAGCAGTCAGATGTCAATCTCAAAAGACCCTATAATTTGATAACAACATAATGGCTGGCCATCTCATATATCACTAAGAATCACTGCTTTTCCTGAGTATTAAGTAATACAATGTATGTAAAATACACAGTCTGGGATGTATATCACTAAGAATCACTGCTTTTCCTGAATATTAAGTAATACAATGTATGTAAAATACACAGTCTGGGATGTAGCAAATAGGAAACTACAAGAAATGGTGTTTATGAGGATCTACTCTATCTCCCTTAAAATGTGGAAGAATTGGTGGAAGTGAAAGAATCTAATGCGCAAGTGGAGCATGAAAAGGCAGAAGTGTTACAAAAGACTGAGATTAGAAAATAATGTTTTCAGCATCAATCAGGGTGGAATTTAGAGCATCTCTGGAGCACTGGAATAGTATAGTGTTTGAGAAGTGAACAAGAAGGACAGGATGGACAGAAGGACTAACATTTGCTGCTCTTTGAAATCTTGGTAATTGTATAACATTCGGGGCAAGACAGAAGGAAAGTAGTTATTTTCAAATTACTTTTCAGCTGCTTGCTTGTGTTACTTTGAGCAGAGCACAATTATAAGCATGAATCAGGAGTACCACAGACTCATAGGGAAATATTAATATTGAGGAATCAAGGGAAGTACAGATTTTTTGGCTGCACATTTTGTTCTGTTTATGGTAAAGACCTGCACAGAGAAAAGATGGGATATTATGTGAATGTGCCATGTTGGGACGTTATGTTATTTCATTCGTTCTTTAACTCTTCATGTATGAGAAGAATATTATTTCCATACCAACAATAGTAAATCCGAGACTTAGAGAGTTTAAATTACTTATCTGAAGTTGCACGGTATATAAGGGACCAGAATTGTATCCAACATGTGTTTGACCATCAAAGCCCATGCTTTCTGTTACATCTGGATCTAGTCACAAAGAGATGGACAGTGTAATGCTTTAGAGAACAAGGAACTTTGACTCAACAGTTTCCATTGTAAGCATGAGATATTCTTTAAAATATTATTTTCTTTTACTGACTTCATGTTTAATAGATGTCCTTATGCCTTTAAAATTTGGATTGCATTATGTAACACTTTAGGCAAAAGGGTGTCAAGTATGTGGTATTCAGTTGTGTTCAGGTATGTTTGTGTAAATGTGTGTGTGTGTTCATTTATTTGTATGTATTTGTGTATGTCTATGTATGTCGTTAGTAATTGAGAAATGGATTTCAATACCCTTTAAATCCGGGACTACAGGAGTTAGATGTATACAAATTATCACACTTAATATTTACAAAAACCTCAGAAGTTAAGAAATAATAACCTTATAAGTTAAAAAACACTATCCATCATCTTTTATTAGTTGGAGAAATTTAGAATTAGAAAGATTGTAAGTCAAGATAAATCACAGATCAAGTCAAAGCTTGTGCTTTTTCTCTTATTCCCAGAATGCATGTACCCAGCATATTAACTATGTCCCTACATTTAGTTTCACACCCAACACAAATTAGAGAGTAAGCCTTAATACCCAAATGAATTAACAAGTAACTTAGATTCCATGCAGATGGAATGCATATATATGTGGAGGTGTGTGCTTTCCACCTTCCGTTCACCCTGTCATATGCAAATCAATCCTCTCTACCCTCAAGCCTGATACCTACAGACTTGGTGAACACTGCTTCTTTGAACAGAAGGCAATAGACTAGAAATATACCTTGATAAATGATTCCAGTATTAAATAAAACATAATTAATACAAATATATATGCAGAGGTTTCTTAAAGTGAAGGAAACAGCAGGCATTACTGAACTTGAAAGTTTCTTTTCCTCCTTATTCTGTATAGTCTCACTCAGGAGCCACATACATGCAAAAGTGCCACACATTGCCATATTGAAGCTGTTTTATCAATGGATAGCTAGAAGAAATTCAAATTAAGACATAATTCTTCATGGTTTTTTCTTTTTTTTTTTTTTTTTGAAGAATACAGTTGATTAACTGATAAAAGAATCCAAAAAGAAAGAAAAAGAAAAAGAGACATCAGGATCAAGCACCAAACACCAAGGCCAACCAGGAAAATATAAATATCTATGTTTTAGAAACAGAAAGGATTTCCAAGAATATTTTATTCAAAAATTTAAGAAGTCAGGATGCTGAAGGAGTCCCAGGGAACAGATCTATGTGTTCACAGAAAGCTCATGGTAAAGTTAGGGCTAGGCCAAAGAACTTCTGACTCCCAATTCAATTCTATTATCTCTCCCTACCATTGTCAGCAAATTAATTGCACAGTGAGCTCTTTTCTAAAAATTCTTATCTTTGTGAGTCAAGTACTCTACATTTTTGTTTCTACAAGCACAGTAAAATGAGGACAAACCATTGTAGACAAAGACTGCCACACTCAGTCAATAAATGCTTATTGACTGGGTAGTTTTCCTTGAGAACAGACAATGACAAGAAAATATATTTTTAACTTTTACTTTGAGTTAAATTTTTATGGAAAAACTGAATTCTGTTTCTATTTAACTTTATTGGTTTGACTAGAGAAAAAATAAAATAAAATATTAAAATACAAAACAAATCTTACCCCCTTACTGTCTTATTAGTAGGAAAGAAGAGAAAAAATCAGTATCTTAAATTCAGTTTGAATCAAAACTCAGTGACTCAGAATTTAAGGTTGTCTACTCCCTGGGGACTGTGAGGATGTCCTATAGCATATCTGTACTACAATGATAGTGTCTCCAGCTGAATCAGCATGGCAGGTCTGGAGAACAATTATGAAGTTATAAACAATAACAAATGCACTTGGTTTGAAGGAGGCACATCAGGTACTTGGTCAGCAAATTACTTTAGACATTGAACTGCTGGTAGTGGGAATATTCAAAGCTCTATAGCAAGATGGCATAAGACTGATCTAGAATACATATTTTTTGTAATTCTGTAATCTTCTTCAAACCAATTCATGTCCCTAGGTTCAATTATTTTATGTGTAAGTGAAATTCAATGGTTAAAATATTTTCCCTACATGTTGCAGAGGTCATTTTGAAGATGAAATAAGGCAATGTATACGGTATGCATACAAATCCCTTTGTAAACTGTAAACATGTAAAAACACAATGGATTAATTATTGTACTAAAATATTATTAGTGATCTGGGATTCAGAATAGCTCCATTTAAATTACATATTTGCATTAACTTCTGGTATAATTGGATAAGCCATTAATTTCTCTAGACCTCAGTTTTCTCGTTATTAAGTGAGCAAATCTTTTTATTAATCTTCTCTGGTTATGACATTCCTTGATTGTAGCTAGGGTTGTGATTTTATATTTAAAACTCAATTGTCCTTGGGGTGTTATATTTTACTAAGCTGGAGAGTATCTTAAAATTTCCTTTTACTTAAATCTCCCCAAGGGCTGTATATTATCTTACATCTTCTTCAGAGAAACAGGGTAATTGTATGATTTTCAGCTATAAATAATGAAAGCCTCTGAAGTAGGAAAAGCTGATGTTGAAGCAAAACTAGAGTTAGGTTTTAAAAAGAGCCAATTATTGCTTAGTTATTAGACTTTTATCTAATCAGAACTAAAATCATAAACACAGGTATAGGCTTTTATAGGTGATACCAAAAGAAAGGTAAATTAAGATTTAGAGAAAAAATGAGGAAGGATAGATCTATTTTCTAAGAACTCATAATTTTCTGGGGTAGTGAAAATGTAAATGGTGTAGGATAAATATGGCAGATCTGTACTGTCTGAATATATATCAAGGAATAACAGAAAGGGAGTTTTGTATTTCAAAGAAGCTATTTGTTATCAACATTGTCTCTAAGAGTGGTAAAGCAAGTCTAGCAAATGTGAAATTTTTACTAAGTATTCATGTTTAGAACTTAAATTTGCATAAACTGCCATGAAGCTGATTAATAATAACCCGTATTTTGCTCTTTTCCAGGAACACTAGCTTGTTTACTAAGTGCCTTTTTCTTTTTTAAAGTAAACATTGCAGCATTGTTTAGGAATTCAAATTCCAAAAGAAAAATTTTAAATATACACTTAAGGAGCTATTTTCCGAGCTCCATATTGTTTACCTTATCATTCACTTACTTAGATCTTCCTCACTTTCTTATCTATGAATTTATCAAGCAACTGTCCTTTTGAAGTTAAACAGCTAGGCAACTCCTTTCATCTGAATTGAACATTCAGTGGAGAATAACAATCCATATTTTTATGTAACATTGAATTGATATAATTTTACAACTGCTTCTACATTGCTACCACCAAATATCTAGGTGTCATAAATTTAGCAGCCAGAGTCTGAACATTAGGGTGGCATAATATATCCTATGTCTCCATGTGTTGTTAGTTTATCACTATAAAGGGTAACAGAATTTCTAGAATTGCCTCTAGACAATTCAACCCCACTGCAGTTCTCTGAAATTGTATCAAACATAAGAGGCAGATATTTCAATCACTTGAACTTCCATCAGAGGCAAGACCCAGGGTGATGGATTTACTAGCTGTGAGCTCCATAATTCTAAATTCATTTAGGAGACTAAATTCCTTTGGGTCTGTTATGGGCTGGATTTTGTCCTCCCACTCCCTTAAATTCATATGTTGAAAAAAAAAACCGAGGAGATATTAATCTACAAGTCAAAATGATAGGCCCTCAGAAGAAAACAACGCCCCTGACACCTTGATCTTGAACTTCTGGCTTCCAGAATCATGAGAAAATAAATTTCCTTTAAGTTACCCAATCTGTATAACTTTGTTATGGCAGCCCAGAAAATTAATACAGGGTTCAAACTCTGGAAGCTTTAAGGGACAGACCTCCTGGAACTTTTCTTAATTAAAACCTGTCCCTCATACCAATACCTATATAACATTATGTATACTTCATTATAAACTCATTTGCCTAAGGCTGTCCTTAAATCTGGGTTTTGTAATAAAAAAATTTCACTCATGTCAATGTTCTGCAGTCAAGAATCACTCAAATTTTGTGAATGCTTGGATTCTCTATCTTACACTTTTTATAGGGTCATATTTGAGATGTAAAGGTTGACTCATCTTCCTCATTCAAAAGACAGAGACTTGGATCTCATGAGCATTTATTTCCCTTATGAAGACAGAATATAGTTGCGCACAGTTCTGTGAAAATAATAGTCAGTATAAGGCATATGTAAGGTGATAATGGCTTTTTCCCTCATTTACCATCAAATAATATCCTTAGGACCTAGTATTTCATCTGAAATTGTAAAGACAGGCATTTTTTATTAAAAAAGAATGTCATACTCAGCATGTTACTGAAGCAGTAAGCAGTACTTACTAAAGCAGGGAGAATGAGTGATTTTTTGCATTGAGCCTGAAAGATAATAGAACAATAATAGGCATCAAACATAGAAAAGCAAGACCTTCCTTTGTGTGCCATCTGAAACATCCAACTTTATATCTACGATCTGGTGACTTAATAACTTGTACCATATTTTATAATTCACATTTTCCTATATTTATTATCTCTGAAATCAGAAGCATTTTACAATTGTTCATGTTTTATAATTATAAATGGCAGCATTATTTCCTTAGAAATCTCTTAAAATCACTAATAGTAGCACTTTAGATTCTATGAAATATGATGATACTATTCCTAAACAGTAAAAATTAACTTGGGTTAAAAGAAAAAAATGTGTGCTTCTTTTCCTTAGTAAAGGTATCATAAACCTTTTCATCATGAAACCTTTAATACTTCTCTTTAATAAATCATATATTTTAATACCACTTTCTTCAAATACCTCTCGGTGTTAGTGGAAATGTGTTTCTCCAATTGTTAATCAGTCTGAGTAGGAATAGAAAAACTAGGATTCAGTTTAATAATGATCTGACAGAATTATATTTCTAGCCCTGCTAATGAGGAACAACTACTGTATTAAAGTACTAGGAGGTCATAATGTCTCAATATCTCACATTTTAAGTTCATTTGGAAGACTAAATCCATTGGGATTGTTAAGAGTTGGATTGTGCCCCCTTTCGGAAGTGGTCACCTCTTAACACTTATCATTTAATTTTACTTCTTAGCCTCTGACCACTTTTCAGATTATTGATGAGCAATCAATCAGCCCATCTTGAATTTTTGTATTTAAGTGCCTTATAATTACAATTGGCTACATAGCGAGAGTCATTACATGCCCCACAAATCTGAAAGGAAATCACAATGGCATAATTAAGCTCTCACCAGACAACCCTATTCCTTGGGCAATTATTTTATCAATACAATGAGAATAGTTTTTTTTGTTTTATTTTTAATACAAAAAAATGTATTTCACAATTGACAGAGGATGGTTCTTAAAGAACTAGATATTTTAAACCTTGTTATTAGGAACTTACAACCCTGTTAAACATAATCTTAGATAAATTTCAAGTAAATAATTCTTCATTTTGTGTGTATTCTCAACATATACTTTAATATATTCACTTACTTTTGTCAGGTTTGTTAAAGATCAGATGGCTGTAGATGTGTGGTGTTATTTCTGATGCCTCTGTTTTGTTCCATTGGTCTATATATCTGTTTTGGTACCAGTACCATGCTGTTTTGGTTACTGTAGCCTTGAAGTCAGGTAGCATAATGCCTCCAGCTTTGCTCTTTTTGCTTAGCATGGTCTTGGCTATACGGGATCTTTTTTCAGGTTGATGGGTGCAGCAAACCACCATGGCACATGTATACCTATGTAACAAACCTGTACATTCAGCACATGTATCCCAGAACTTAAAGTATAAAATACACATATTCACTTACTTCACAAATCTTTACTAAGTATCTAGCAGGTGTTAGACATTAATGACATTTACCATGTCCTTAGTGGATCTCTTGCCATGCTGCTGTCAAGATGTTAGCTGAGGTCTCATCAAAAGTCTCAACTGTGGAGAATCATTTTCACTTCCACATGGATGTCAACAGAAAGCAATTCTTTATGGGATGGATTGAGGGTCCTAGTTTAAACTAAACTAAATTATTTGCCACATAGGCCTCTTGAACAGAATAGCTTGTTTCATCAAAGCATGCATGCTGAGAAAGCCATAAAAGAGTCTCTTAGCAAGATGGAGGATATAATATTTTGTATTATAATCACAGAAGTGACGTCCCTTAGTTTTGCCATCTT
Organism: Homo sapiens; assembly: GCF_000001405.40. Lineage (NCBI taxonomy): Eukaryota > Metazoa > Chordata > Mammalia > Primates > Hominidae > Homo > Homo sapiens. Next base: position 48,584,273 of record NC_000006.12, read on the forward strand.
ATTCATTAAAAGGAGGATGACAATAAGGATTAGGAGTTACACCAGGACATGAATACCAGGAGGCAGAGATCACTGGGCGCTATCTTAGAAGTTTGTCTAGTCAGCAAATTAAGTGTATGTGTATATATATATATATATATATATATATATATATATAAAATTCTAAATTCATTTAGAAGACTACATTTATATATATGTATGTGTGTGTAAAAGAATATATTAAAGTGTGTGTATATATATATACACACATACACGCATATATATTTACATATATATATGGAAAGAGTACTTCATGAAATTATATTACCAATTTAAATTCAGGGCTAGAGGATTATTATTTATGCTATACTAAATCTGTATGATTTCTTCTACAAAGCTAATCCTGATTTTCCAAAACATAGGAAATAATAAGATATTTTGTTTATCACACATTAAACACAAAAAAATATTATCCACATCAGTATGATTACTGAAAGAAGTCAGTTTTTCTAGGCTCTTCCCATTCTTTCCCCATATTTTAATAATTGTACTTTACATTGTGTGAACATAGAGCCACTAAAAAGGATACTATTTCTCTTTTAACTTTCATGCAGTTTCACTTTTCCAATAAAGTCTCATTTATTGAGTCTCCACCTTTATACCTAGAAGTGTACACTAATATTTCTCTAGTTACTTTGGTTTTATGCAGCTTGTTCTTAGTCGATTTCTTAGAAACTGCTGTGGGAGTCATAATCCCTGAGTTCTTAGATGTTGATAGCAATTTGTCTTTAATACTTGATTGTCAGATGTGTGTGTGTGTGGGTGTAAAATCTTTGGCTCATAGTTTCTCTAATTTCTTCTAGCATAAAATGTTACTGTCAAAGTGTCTGATGATTATCCAGTTTTCCTTCCCTTTTAAGGTATTTTCTTTTTTTGGCTTAGATTACCAAAGCATTTTTCTTTTGTTTAAAGTCCAGAAGTTTTGCAAGTATATATGTTTGAGTGTTGGTTATTCTGTGTTGATATTCTTAGGCTGAAGTGTGCTCTGTCAATTGCTGGTTTGCTATTTTTAGTTTTCCAAAAGTGTTTGGAACAATGCTTTTTTAGTATTTATTACATTATCTTGTTTTATATTTCTTTAGGAAGTATTATAATCCATATGTTGTTTTTTGACTACTTTCATTATTTTTCATATTTAAAAAAAATTATTTTTAAATTCTACTTTAAAAATTTAATTCCCTTCTCTTTACTTATTTCGTTTAAGGTCTTACCTATGTTATTTGCTTTTGTGTTTCTTCTGATTTCTGATTTCAAATTTACCTGCAACTTATTTTTCTATTATTTTTAATTTATACCTGATATATCTTACTTCACTTGTGAGTTTTTATAAATTTGTAAAGTATGTTTTTTAGTATTACCATTTTCTTATTTTACCTCATTCAGAAATAATAGGTAACAGTTTTGATCTGTTTTGTGGGTGTATCTTTCTTGCATGCTATCATTAACTGTAGCAGTGTTATTCTGCCCCTTATTCTCTGTTTTTTTTTTAATAATACCATTTTATGAGATTGGAGCCTTTAAGGCAACATTATTTTACCTAAAATGTTAAAGGCAGACATAGTTCAAGATAGATTTTCTAACTTCATTTAATTTCCTGTTCCATTATTGTGGGAATGTGTTTAAAAACACAGCAACTTCCTTTCTGAGATTTCCAGGCTCTGTTCTTCTCTCCCCTGTTTATCTAGATCTCCATCTTTCCTTCATCTCTCTTCTCTCTCTATTCTATTTCATTGTGATTCTACTCCCAAGTTTAAGACTCTGCCCTGGAAAGGAGCTATGTCTGGCTGGTTTCATGAGATTCTGTGACTCAAACTGCTCTAGGACCTATACCCAGGATCTCTGTGCTGTTAGAGCAGCAAAATCCAACTACAGCTGTTGTTTTCAAATTGGTCCAGAGGACCTTAAAGTGAAAATATGTTGACTCTTTGGGATTCTCCTCTTCTCTGACCTGTCAGATGTGCTACTGCTTCCATCTATTTATTCCTGCATACATTCTCATATCATGGATGTCATGTCACAACTAGTAAATTGTCATCACTTAAGCTGTTATTCAATTATGTTATATATGCTATCTGTGTTTTGTTTTGTTTTATTTATTTTGTTATATGCAGTTGGCCTTTTTTTTTAATCAGTGGATTCAGAGATTAGCAAAATGTATACCACCATGACTGCCATTTTCCAAGTATTCACAGGTTTTTAGTTACTGTTTTATTATGAGATTCTTATCTTATAATTACCTGGAAATCCAGGTAACGTACCCATGGTCCTTATTCTCAAACAACTTATAGTGTATTAAATGAAAGTAGATAAATGTGCTGAACTCTGTTATAAAACAGAATTTATTCATTCAACAAATATTTATTATGTGTTATGGGTCAGAAACCATTACGGATGCTGAAAATTAAGCAGAGATGAGGCACAGGCTCTTATTCTAATGGGCCTTATGGTTTGTCAAAGAGCATCAAAGTGCACATTAAAAGTGATCATATCAGCCCTCACAAAATACCATAAAAAATTAAATAGATCATTTCTTGGCCTTTGGCTATTGTCAAGTGTAAGAATAAAATAGAAATTTTAATTGAGAACAACTGGTGTAGAGTAGTAGGAGGATACTTATGATTGGTTGGCCAAGAATGGCTTCTTTATGGAGCTAATAGCTAAACTATTGAATGATGAAAAAAGTTAACCATATGAAAATCTGAAGGTGTATTATTACGGCCCAAAGAATAACTAAATATAAAGGTTTTAATGCTGTAGCAAACTTGCTACTGCGAGGACCAGACAGAGCATTCTAATCCATATCAATGAGAGAAAGAAGTCAGAGGTAAAACATGAGATAAATTCAGAGATCCAGGTGTGTGTCAGATTACAAGAGGTCAATATGAATATTGTCAATGAGACTGGATTTGATAATAGCTAGTAAGATAAGCCTTGGCAGTATTATGAGCAAAAGAGTGAATTGATCTAATTCTCTCTGAACTCCATGTAGACAATGCAATGCACTAGTGAAAAGTGGAATCAAGTAGACCCACTAGCTTCTTTGACAGGAGTCTAGAGGATAAGAATGGTGGCTTAAGTTAGGGAAGCAGCAATGAAAACAGATGGAAATGGATAGCTTCAGAATATATTTTTGAGAGATTGACTTTATGGATGCTTCCCAGATTACAGAAAATACCTGTCTCACAGGATATGTTTTGAAATGTATAATACAGAAGCAGAGAAAGTTTGTGTGACACAGTAAGAGAATTAATTATGAATTCTGCATTTGGCATGTTGTTCTACAAGTGAAAAATATCAAGAAAGCAGTTGGAGCTTAGAAGAAAGTTCAATACAGGAGGTAAACAGATGGAAGTCAGTTGTAAGTGGGTTTTTAAAACCACACCTGAAATTATATCACAAAAGACAAGAGCATAACAAAAAAGAAAATAGGGTCCAGTTCCAACATTTGATAGTACTTCAATATTTATAGTTCTGCAACCATAAGAGGAACCAAGGGAAGAGAATACAAATCATTACCTCTGGAGCTAGTGCTATGATCTGAATGTGTTCCCTCCAATATTGTCTTAAAATTTAACCCCCAAGGTGATGGTATTAGAATATGGGGCCTTTGGTAGTTGATTAGGTCATTAGGGCTCCAAACTAATGAATGGGAATAATCCCCTTATACAAAAGATGCCAGAGAAATGGATAGCCCTTTCTTCCATAAGGTTACAGTGAAAAGACATACATTTATGAAGAAAGCAGACCATCACCAGACATTGAATCTGCTTGCTCCTCGATGTTGGACTTGCCAACCTCCAGATCTGTAAGAAATAAATTTATGTAATATATAAGCTATCCAGTTTGTAATGCTTTGTTATAGCAACCCAGATGGACTAAGACAGGTAGGAATAAAACAAAAAGAATAGTGACATACAAGACAAGAAGAGATAATTTTTCAGAAAATATTCATTGCGTTGAATAATACTAAGAACACATGATAGGTGAACACAGAGATGTAGTATTTGTGTTTATCAAATTGAAGTCATTGGTAAAGTTGATAAGATCAAATTTGGATGAGTTAGGTAACAGAAGCTCATCTGAGATAGGTGTGACTGTCAAGATTTTATTCTTTCAAAAATTTTGTTGTAAAGATGAGCAAACAGAGAGGTGTGCCTGGACAAAGAAGTGAAGGTTGAGGGATGATTTATTCATGTGTGTGTGTCAGTTTTAAAGAAGACAGTTGTAGCTGATTATAATATGTCACTAGAAAAGGAAAAATTGATAATTCGGATGATTCAATGTGTAATTTCCAGAATAAAATTTGTGAGAAATTAAGAAAGAATGTGATCCAGAATGCAAGAGCCTTTGTTAGCTATGTTCTGTATAGTAGCAATGAAGGAGAAGGGAGTATGGGCTCAGATTCAGAAAACTTGTGAGGTTTAAGAGAAAGAAGGCAAGGATATCCCATCTGATAGCATCTTTTTAAAAAATGCAATATAAAACAAGGCCATTAGCTGACAGGGAGTATGTGTGCAGATATTTCAATACTTTTGTACAGCAAATAAGAAGGCTTTTGATAAAATAGAGAAGTAAAAATGGAATTTGGTGTGCAGCATTATGAATAAACTAGGAAAATCATGGTAAGAAATTATGAACTGCATAGAGTTTCCATAAGGTTTTGTTGTGATTAATTTAAATTGAAGTCACTCATATGTTTTGTAGGTATTTTCTCAAGAAATACTGTTTATCAGATATTTATCTGATAAATATAAACATAATTACTAGATAATGAAATCATGGAAGACCTCATAAAGGAGGTGAAACTTGAGCAAAGTGTTAAAATGCAGGAAAGTTTACTCAGAAGGACAAAGAGGAAGGGAAAAATGTTTGCTAAGGACATAAGCAGTTTAGGAAAAAAATAACAATTTTATATGATAACATCAAAGGCCTATGTGTGGATGAGATAAGAAAGAGGAAAAGTGGAGGCCCAGGAAGCAGTGGGAAAAGTTGTAGCAAATTTCAAGGGTCTAACATATATCATGTTTATGATTCTAAAGTTTATCCTTTAGGTTATAGTAAATCAAAGTATAATTTCAAACAGCTAAACAATATGATCATATAAAATAATTAGGAGCATGATCTTCTAATGATCACAATTCAAATACTCTGTAAATATTTTTTAATATCTCTCAAGTTTATACTAATTTATTTTTCCATCCTTACATACCATATTAAGTACAATGCGCTTCATCTGTAGGTTACTCAACCATGTCTCTTGCTTGGTTGACAGACTGATTTCTAAATATATATATCTTTTCCCCTACATAAGGAAGCAGTTCATATAGTCACTGATCTCTTATTGAAAACCTTTGTGGAAAAAAACCATATAAATAGATACATCTAAATTATTTAAGAATTCTCAATTGCACAACTCTACTATTCTTATCAGTCTATTAAAATTATTTTCTTTCATTTTCAATCAGGATCTATTCATTTTCAAGACAGCACTTCAGAAATTTCCATTATAAGGAAACTACAAACATAGATATTATTGGCATTCTTATTTTACACGGTACTGAGGAGACTTGTCTTTCTCTTCTGATGCCTAATTTTCATAATTTATCTCATTTTATAGCTTTTTATTATATCTATTTCATTTCTGAAGTATTTCTATTTTAATTACTTAAAAATTTCTCTCATCTTCAGAGAATCGACTGCCTGAAAATATTTCAATCAATGGCTTTTCATATACTCTCTATAAAATTTTTATATTTTAATAAACTGATAATCCAATAGTGCATTCTTTTTTTTATAACTCCCCTCTCACTTCACTTCAAACTGCAAATTTAGTATCTAGAACTTTCTGTGAGTCTTCTACTTTCATCAAATATGAAGTCTCTCTCAAGTCTGTATTAAAGTTGTTTTTCCAAGAAATCTTCCCTTTTCTTTCAAAAGTCAAGTTAAATAAAGAACAGTTGGTCGTTATTACCTGATTATTCATTATCTGAGTTCTACAATCATGGCAATGTCTAGGGAAACAAGTCATCACAAAGAAAAATGTAACAGTTAACTGACCTTGTATATATGTTATCCCTCTTTAAACTCTTTTCACCTTAGCATTCCATTCTAATCCTTCCCACTGTGTTATGGTCTATCTGTTTTATATATCTCAAAATTGCAAGTAAATCGATCTCCAAATTTAAATCACACAAAAATAGCAATTCTATAAAGTCCTTAGGAACAAAAAATGTGGAACTAAATTACTGATAAAGAGACTGATAGATAAAGATTTGAAAGAGATAGATGAGTTAAGAACTGAAGGAGAGATAATTGATGAGGATGATGTATTCATTTCCCAGCGCTGACATAACAAAGTACCTACCACACACTGAATGGCTTACGGCATCAAAAACTTATTCCTTCACAGTTCTGAAGGCTAGAAGCCCAAAATTAATGTGTTAGCACTATTGATACCTTCTAGAGACTCAGGAAAAATCTTGTTCCATGCCTCTCTTCTAGTTTCTGGTGGTTTCTGGAAATCTTTGTCATTTTTTGACTTGTAGACTCATCACTCGAATCTGTCTCTGTCTTCACATAGCATTATTTTCTTTATGTATCTATGTATCCAAGTTACATAAAAAAAAATGCTTCATGTATACTACATGTACCTTTAGGTACCTACTTTATCCAAAATTCAGGAAAGATACCTTATGTATCTTTTATGTATCTACATATTCTTTTTTAAAAAAAATTATACTTAAGTTCTGGAATACATGTGCAGAACATGCAGGTTTGTTGCATAGGTACACATGTCCCATGGTGGTTTGCTGTACCTATCAACCTGTAATCTACATTACTTATTTCTTCTAATGCTATCCCTCCCCTTGCTCACCAGCCCCCAACAAGCCCCAGTGTATGATGTTCCCCTCCCTGTGCCCATATGTTCTTATTGTTCAATTCCCACTTATGAGTGAGAAGATGCAGTGTTTGGTTTTCTGTTCCTGTGTTAGTTTGTTGAGAATGATGGTTTACAGCTTCATCCATGTCCCTGCAAAGGACATGAACTCATCCTTTTTCATGGCTGCATAGTATTCCATGGGGTATATGTGCCACATTTTCTTTATCCAGTCTATCATTGATAGGCACTTGGGTTGGTTCCAAGTCTGCTATTGTGAACAGTGCTGCAGTAAACATACATGTGCATGTGTCTTTATAGTAGAATGTTTATAATCCTTTGGGTAAATAACCAGTACTGGGATTGCTGGGTCAAATGGTATTTCTGGTTCTAGATCCTTGAGGAATCACCACACTGTCTTCCACGGTGGTTGAACCAATTTATACTCCCACCAACAGTGTAAAAGCATTCCTATTTCTCCACATCTTCTCCAGCATCTGTTGTTTCTTCACTTTTTAATGATTGCCATTCTAACTGGTATGAGATGGTATCTCATGGTGGTTTTGATTTGCATTTCTCTAATGACCAGTGATTATGAGCTTTTATTCATATGTTTGTTGGCCGCATAAATGTCTTCTTTTGAAAAGTGTCTGTTCATATCCTTTGCCCACTTTTTGATGGGGTTGTTTGTTATTTTCTTGTAAATTTGTTTAAGTTCCTTGTGGATTCTGGATATTAACCCATTGTCAGATGGATAGATTGCAAAAATGTTCTCCCATTCTGTAGGTTGATTGTTTAATCTGGTGATAGTCTCTTGCTGTGCAGAAGCTCTTTTGTTTAATTAGATCCCATTGCCTATTTTGGCTTTTGTTGCCATTGCTTTTGATGTTTTAGTCATGAAGTCTTTGCCAATGCCTGTGTCCTGAATGGTATTGTCTAGGTTTTCTTCTAGGGTTTGTATGGTTTTAGGTCTTACATTTAAATCCTTAATCCGTCTTAAGTTAATTTTTGTATAAGGTGTAAGGAAGGGATCCAGTTTCAGTTTTCTGCATAATGTTAGCCAGTTTTCCCAACACCATTTATTAAATAGGCAATCCTTTCCCCATTGCTTGTTTTTGTCAGGTTTGTCAAAGATCCAATGGTTGTAGATGTGTGGTGTTATTTCTGAGGTCTCTGTTCTGTTCCATTGGCCTATATATCAGTTTTGGTACCACTATGAAGCTGTTTTGGTTACTGTAGCCTTGTAGTGTAGTTTGAAGTCAGGTAGCATGATGCCTCCAGCTTTGTTCCTTTTGCTTAGAATTGTCTTGGCTATACGGGCTCTTTTTTGGTTCCATATGAAATTTAAATTAGTGTTGCTTTTTTTTTTTTTGACTGAGTCTTGCTCTGTTGCCCAGGCTGGAGTGCAGTGGCATGATCTCAGCTCACTGCAACCTCTGACTCCCGGGTTCAAGCAATTCTCTGCCTCAGCCTCCCAAGTAGCTGGGATTACAGGTCCCCACCACCACGCCTGGCCAATTGTTGTATTTTTATTAGGGACGGGGTTTCACCATCTTAGCCAGGCTGGTCTTGAACTCCTGACTTCGTGATCCACCCGCCTCATCCTCCCAAAGTGCTAAGATTACAGGCGTGAGCCACCCATTTGGCCTAAAATATTTTTTTATAATTCTGTGAAGATAGTCAATAGTAGCTTGATGGGAATAGCATTGAATCTATAAATTACCTTGCACAGTATGACCATTTTCACGATATTGATTTTTCGTATCCATGAGCATGGAATGTTCTTCCATTTGTTTGTGTCCTCTCTTACTTCCTTCAGCAGTGGTTTGTAGTTCTTCTATAAGAGGTCCTTCACATTCCTTGTAAGTTGGATTCCTAGGTATTTTATTCTCTTTGTAGCAATTGTGAATGGGAGTTCACTCATAATTTGGCTCTCTGTTTGTCTATTATTGGTGTATAGGAATCCTTGTGATTTTTGCACATTGATTTTATATCCTGAGACTTTGCTGAAGTTGTTTATGAGCTTAAGGAGTTTTGGGGCTGAGACGATGGGATTTTCTAAATATACAATCATGTCATCTGCAAACAGAGATAATTTGGCTTCCTCTCTTCCTATTTGATTACCCTTTATTTCTTGTAAAGACATAAGTCAATGGATTTAGGGCCCACTTTGACATAGTATGACCTCATCTTAACTTTTTTACATCTGCAAAAATCCTATTTCTAAATAAAATCACAGGCACAGACAGTGGTGGGCTGGGAGGTTAGGACTTGGACACATACCTTCCTGGGGTGCGTAGCTCAACAGCTACAGAAAATGATACAAAACTTCAAAAATAACATATAAATATCAAAATATTAAAAGAGGCCTTAGTAAAATTGATAAAACCTTCATATATAGTTTTTGGCAAAAGTAACTAGTATGTTCTACCTATCAGAGTCAAATAGTGATTGGTGTTCTTTTGTACATCCACATAGTTTTGTCAGAAAAATTATGACTCTTCCTCCTGCCCTAAATCAATACTTGTTCTCACTGGTTCTATGAAACATTGCAGTTATGATGATAATTTATTTTGTTAAACAAGAGGTTTTTTAAAGCTCTCTCTCTCTTTTTTTTTTTTTTTTTTTTTGGTTTATTGTTCAATATATAATCCAGTCCTAACCACTTTTTTTTTTTCTTTTTTGAGATAGAGTCTCACTCTGTCACCCAGGCTGGAGTGCAGTGGCACGATCTCAGCTCACTGCAAGCTCCGGCTCACTGCAAGCTCCGCCTCCCGGGTTCACGCCATTCTCCTGCCTCTGCCTCCGGAGTAGCTGGGACTACAGGCACCCGCCACCACACCCGGCTAATTTTTTGTGTTTTTAGTAGAGATGGGGTTTCACAGTGTTAGCCAAGATGGTCTCGATCTCCTGACCTTGTGATCAGCCAGCCTCGGCCCCCCAAAGTGCTGGGATTACAGGCGTGAGCCACCGCGCCCGGCCCTAACCATATAATTTTAGACACATTGTCCCTGCTTGAAACTGGTTAATTTATTGTAATCTCTTTCCGTAATAATTGACCTTATAAAATGAGAATGTTTGTACAGTGAGTGGTATTTTATAAGGTGTTTCCTTTTAAAAGATAGACATATTTTCACAGCCATTTCAATTTGCCTTTTTTTCTGTAAAGGTCTTTTATTTTAACACATTAAGGGTTAGGCTCGTCTGACACTTATAACAGATCTTATCATATCAGCTCTTCTTTAAAGAAATTAATAATTATGTAGGAGTGATATTTATTTCAGTGGATGATACCTTCATTTAAACACTAAAAACTTTAGCAGCATTGAGTTATATTTTACCAAACTTCAGGTTATTGGGTGCTGGAGAAACTGGGACACTTGAAACAAATGTTTTCAAACTTTAAAGGAATCATAAACATATTTGTTTTTGGTGTCATAGTATGTGCGAATGTCTACAAAGGGATATTTGGCAAACATGCTTTCAGCTGACTGGAGTACACCCAGTCTACATCCCTAAATGTTTCCATTTTTATTTCTCCTTTTATTCATTTGTCATGATCAAACTGGTTTGTGTACATGCCTTTTGTGTGTATGCTTCTGATTTCAAATTTACTGTTATCTTCATGTCTCAATTTCAGTGTAGTTTGTGTGTGTTTGTTTTCATAGGAATTTCCTTGTCTTATCTGGCCCTTGTCATTGAGTTAAGGAAGTGAATAAATGTACACAAGAATTTATATTATCTATTTAAAGTTAATATAAACTGCATATAAGTACTGAGATGTACAAAATAAGGAAAAAAATTAATGGAACATTAAGTTAGTCACAAAAATTTTCCAAATTATACATGCTGTGTTAAGCTTTAAAATTACATATTTATGTTTTCTACATAGGGGTCTTGCGTTTCAGAAAGATTTTAAGAGCCCTGAGGGCAGAGGTCTCACCTTCTGGTTCACAAACTTTCACAAAAATACAGGCTACTGTCTTTGTGTGGTGGGTCCTTTCTATTCCTTCCTCTGTGATTTCCCTGTCCAAATACACACTGCCCTATTCTTTTCTTGCATATTCATCTCATGATCATTGCCAAAGCCTTCTCAAACTGGCTAAAATGGCCTTCCTACTCTGTTCAGCATTCTCTCTTCCATCTATTTTGCTAAATTGCAAATTTTTATTCTTTTGAGAAATGTCCTTTAAGTAATTAAAAGGGCAGTAATTTTTTTTTCTAATTTTTAAGTACATAGGTTTCATTTGCTTCTACACTAAACTGTGCTTTTCTTAATGCAGTAAAACATATTCTGGTATAATTTTAAAACTACTTCTGTTTGTAATTTCATTTTATTTATTTAAAAGGGTTATTGGGCCTTCAGATTAGACATCTAACACTGTAAATGTAATGCATCTGAATTTCACTGGGCATTAAAAGAAAACTTTTAATGGTACTTTTTACCCTGTCAAAGGTCTTGTTGATATTTGTATAGTCATGTACATGAATAACACAAAAATATTCTCATTGGAATTTGTAATTGACATAAATAGTCTGATACAAAATAAAGACCCAAAAAAGACATTTAACATTAATATATTATGAAAATAAAAAATTCCTCAGAAAAAATATCTGACTATGGCTTCTTCTGCCTTCTGAGAAGTGGTGATGAGTTGAATGATTACTTATGGAAGAAGATACTGGGTGTCAATCCTTTCTCTTTACAGAGAGCTACAAGAAGGAACTCTAACCTAGAATTTGATATTTTAAATGATATAATTTTTATCCTCAGCAAGTTTTCTCATTGTTAAAACTGTGAGACCCTGTATTGGGGTGTGTGTGTTTGTGTGTGTGTGTGTGTGTGTGTGTGTGTGTATTTTAGACAAAGAAAAAATCAGAGAGGTAATTGTTAATTTGTACTCATGCAACATAAGCTCTGAACCAAGCAAGAGGTAGGAGTTAATGTTCATGTTCATTCAATGAACACTTTATCAAATGAATATTCTTCTCAAGTTAGAGCTGCCCTTAGTTCACTGATTGTTAGAGAATTCATCCTTTCAGGGAGGAGGGGTCTTGCTATCCTTCAGGACACATGTGGCTAGATATGGTGATGAAGGAAAGCAATGGGTACTGAGAGAGGAGATTGGAGCAAGTGCCATCTTGTTTCACAGGGACACACTTATCCAAATAGAGATAACTCAGGTCCTTTTAATCATCACCTTTCATACAATCTTTTTCCCATGGTGTTTTCCTCTTTTCCTTCTCATTCTCCTTCTTCTTGTTCCTCTTCTTCTTCTTTTATTTTATTTTATTTTAGATTCAGGGGGTACACATGAAGGTTTGTTACATGGGTATATTGTGTAACAGTGTTCATGATTTCTTTTTTAGGGCTGTTCTTTACAACCCTGTTAACAACAAATATCCTGCCTAAATGTAATCCACACTCCACGTCTCCCACGGATGTTTTTCCTATCACAGCATTCTGTAGTAAACCATTCTTAGCTCAATGAACTTGGCTTTAGCTGCTCTTTCTCAAAATACTCTTTTGAGGCAAGAAGATGGAGAGAGTAACACATCAAGTTTGATTCTTATTTTTAAAATTTACTTTATTTCAAGGAGCAGGAAAATACACATTCTAATTTCACTGAAGATGAAACCAACTTAGGTATTCTAAAGGTCTGTTAGGCACCTAAAAGCATAAACTGAACAAGAGCAGAAGCTGAAATCATTTCTGGCAGATAGCACATGAGAATCAAGAAAAAATCCATCTTCAACAGTAATGTCAGGGAATGCCTTCTGAATAAAATCTATGGATTCTTCTTATGAGTCATATCTTCATTCTCACCTCTAGAAAGCTGGGCTCTGCCCCTGTCAAGACCCACACTGAAGTGAAATATAATTAGAGGCATACTATCAATATTTCATATACCTTAAACTGTCTGAAGACAAGAGTGTTACAGTCAGAAAGGAATCATTCACTCTTTTAATTTCAGACCCTTTTGCTTCTTTTCTAGGCTTATATGAAAAGGCTCAAAGAAAGAAGGTAGAATCTTTGCATGAACTGAAGCAAACACAACTGTAATATAACCAGCTTCCTGGGATACACAATTGTCATAGACAAGAGAAACCAGAAGAATAACTAGATCACTACAATAGCAACCGGTCAATTTGGACTGACTGTGGGATCAGAGAGCTGATGTACTACAACAGAAGAAGAAATTAAGAACTAGAACTAGTTTCCATCAGCCACTCCAGAGTCAAAACAACGTAATGTAACCACAGGTGTAAAATTCATCATCTTCACAGAACTAAGAATTTTGCAGTATCTGTACACTAAAGGGACAGAATTTCTTTGGGGCTATTGTAGAATTCAGCCTGCCATAATTCACCCTCTGGCCCCAAGGATTCATGTCCCTTCCAAAAGCAAAATACATTCACCCTTTCCTAAAATTTTCAAGGATGTCAGCATCAGCTCAACATCTCAAATATCAGTTTTGGAAGAGGATCCTGGGTGTAATCCATTACAGCTGCTGGAGCAAAATTTCCCTCCAATTTTGCACTTGTGAAACTAAGAGACAAATTATCTGCTCCCCAAAGTCCCAATATTCAATAGTGGGGCAGGCATAAGATAACACTTTTAAGACATTCTGGTTCAAAAAGAGAAATGGGAAGCACAAACGAATAACTGGTCAAAATATTCCTGAAATCAAGTTGAGAAAACAGCGGATTTTTAAAAATTATATTTCAAGATCTGGGAGTAATTTTCTATGGCCCTCTGGGCTCTCAGCTCCACCCTCTGGGCAATTTCTTCTACCCTTAGAACCATTCTTTCTTATTGTAAAAGGTAGTACATGTTTCTAGCAAAGAAGTTTTATCAGCCTGCTTGTTGCCGCTCTCTGGCTCTTGCAGTACAAACTGGCAGTATTTTTGCTGATATGGATTTCCCAAGAACCTGTGATCTTGCACGAATTGTACTTGGTTTCACTCCATTGGACAACAGCCATACCCACAAATCTTTTTGAGATAATCCCTCCTCTATTTCTGGCTCCCGTTGATCTGACTGAGGCACAAAGTCCTTAAGCTTCCTAGTAGTCCTCTAAGCATTTCCTTAATCTATGGAATCTAATCCTAGTAGTCCTCTAAGCATTTTCTTAATCTATGGAAAGAGCCAGTTGTATGACAGAATTTTCTGACCTTTTGAGTATTCTGAGGTTTTGGTCTGAGTTTGTACCACCACACTCTCTGCCTTTTCTCTATGCCACCCTGTCTTTAGTGCTCTCATCTTAGCACCTTTTGTCATGTGAATAGGCTAAAATTATCGAAATTACTTTTTTTATTTTTATTTTTTTGAGACAAAGTCTCACTCTGCTGCCAGGCTGGAGTGCAATGGCGCGATCTCGGCTCACTGCAACCTCCGACTCCCTCATTCAAGCGATTCTCCTGTCTCAGCCTCCTGAGTAGTTAGGATTACAGGCATGCGCCACCACGGTCAGCTTATTTTTTGTATTTTTAGTAGAGAACGGGTTTCATCATGTTGGCCAGGATGGTCTCAATCTCCTGACCTCGTGATCTTTGATTGTAACTTCTTCCTTTATTTTTCTTTTCTTGCATTTTGCTCTAAGCAGCAAGAATAAACCAGTGCTTCCCGTAAACACTTTACTTGGTGGGGGTCGGAGGGGTCCCCTCACCTTTATATCCAAATTAATTGCCCATACATTTTGCTTTCCACAACTTAGGACAACTTCTGCTAAGCTTTCAGTGGCTACATATGAAAAATCTTCCTTTCTCCTGTGTGATAACATGTTGTTGACTTCCTTCTTAGCCCTCCAAGGTAGCCATCCATGTCTGTATTACCCCTAACAATGTGTTCAAGGCATTGTAGAATTTTCTTTCACATATTCCGACTTTTACTCACTTCTTGATTCCAAAACCACTCCTTCATTTTAGCTATGTGTTAAGGAGTCACTTATTTGCAAGTACTGAAATCTGTATTAGTTTTATATTACTACATAATAAATTACCACAATCACAGCAGCTTAAACCATCATCTATTTGTTAGCTCATGGTTTTGTAGACTAGAAGACTGGCACAATGTGGCTGTGTTCTATGATCAGGGTATCACAAAGCTAAAATTCACGTATTGGTCAGGAGAAGTTCTCATCTAGAGGCTGCAGGTAAAAGATCGGGTTCAAGCTGACTCTTGCTATTGGCAGAATTGGTTTCCTTGGAACTGTAGAACTAAGTTTCTGTTTCCTTGTTGCCCCTATTTAGAAGCCACTCTCAACTCCTAAAGCTGACCCATATTCCTTGCCATGTGGACCTCTCTATCTTAAAGCCAGTAATGGCACATTGAATCCTTCCCATGCTTTTTGAATCTCTGACTGTTTCTGACCTCTAGACTCAGATTTGCTGGGCGTGGGTGATAGTCGATCCCACCTGGATAGTCGCCCTATTTTAAAGTCAATTCATTTGGAAACTAAATTACATATACAACTTTCCTTTTTTCAGTGTAAGGTAACATGTTCATGGGAATAAAAGCCATCATATCCACAGGCCAACAGATTACACAAGTTATACAACACAAAACAAGGATCTTGGAGGCTGTCATAAAATTGTGCCTAACTCTGTATCCCAGTGTCACATAGCAGTCTCCAAGCTGGTGCTTCCACTGTGCCTTAAACACAATGTTGAAAGTTTAGCAGCCTCTGGGAAGTGTAGTATATGATGGAACTAGTGGATTCCACAGTCCTGTGACAACCCCAAATATCTCTTGCTATATAGTAGATTCCTTGGTCTCCATAAAATTATGTAGTATTCCCATGTCAGCAGATCCAATGCAATTTATGACATTGGAGAGTGATGCTTGTTATGGTTCTGCATACAAGAAGGGCAAAATCACACCAGGAATATAGATGGCTGATAGTCAGAAAGAATTACTGCCCCTTCCAGGATGTAAGGTATCTAATATAGCCAACTTATCACCAAGTACCTTATTTGTTTCCTCTAGAGATTGTGTTATACTGGGGGCTTGACTTGAATATATGTTGGATATTTGGCAATGGCAATAACTAGATCTGCATTGATGAGTGGGAACCCATGCCATGGGCTCATGCATAACCTCCATTGCTGCTATCATGACTACTCCATTCCATGTACCCTCCATGCCGGCCCTGGGCTGGCTAATGATAGAGATTGGCAAATGTCACCTGTAAAAGACATTCTGTCTAATTGGCTATCTAGTGTCTCTAATGGACTAAATGACACAGGTGAACTTGATATGTATAATACAAATAGCTTCATATTTTGCATCCATTCTCATAGATCAGTCTATATGCCTCTTCTCCATATCTCCTTCTATTGGACTGACCCTGTCCACATCTGAATCCCCAAAACATGTGAAAGTTACATTTGAAGAAAAAAGTCTTTGCATATGTAACTAAATATCTTGACATGAGTATATTATTTTAGAGTATCTGGGTGGGCCCTAAATCCAATAACACGTGTCCTTCTAAGAGATACACAGAGAAGACAGAAGAAGACAAGTACGACACAATGTGACCACAGAAGCAGAGATTGGAATAGGTGACTACAATTTAAGGAATTCTAACATCCACCAGATGCTGGAAGAGGCAAAGGATAGATTCTCCCTAGAGGCTTCAGGGGATTTTGGTTCTGCCAACACTTTGATTTCACACTTCTGGACTCCCAAACTGTGAGAGATTAAATGTCTATTGTTCTAAGTCACCAATTTTGTGGTAATATTTATTATGGCAGTCCTAAGAAGCTAAAATGCCTTGTTTTCCTGATCTTCCAACATTTTTAAAGCTCCTGACCAACTAGCCAATCCATTTATTTTCACAAAAAGTAAATGACCAGGTACCCTACTCAAAGCTTTGTCCTTCAGAGAATTTTCCTGCACTAGTCTTTTCAATATGATTTCTGAGTGGGATAGTAGTTTAGCAGTAATTCATTTTCTATTACATATGGCTCAAGAAGCAGGGCGACTTGTACTGCAGGCTTCTTTTTGCAGACCCCTTGTGTTATCTAGTTAATGCGTTAGCATGAGTTTACCAAGGATTGCCCTTCCTTCTTATTTGGTGAAGGTGTGGAATTTAACAATATATTCTTTATTTTGAGGGGGTGCTTTAGCATTTCACAGACTACTGACCTCCTAAAATCTTCCCTGATTGCAAACCCTTATATCTTCATAGGTTTTTATCTCCTACTCTCTAGAGTATATAGGTATATTTAGAGGATATGTGTCTTTCTAAAGCCTCCAACAGACTTATCATTTTGTGCTTTTCTTGTTCTAATCATATGATTTATTCAATATACTGTTCCAATTAAGATAGTCCAATATAGATGTTTCTGGTCCCCTTAGATAATATAACAGAGGGCAAGAAAATTAACATGGTACTGGGGCAAGATTATAAATGTATTTGATTTTCCATCTTTCTGTTCCTTTTTCTGATAAGTATGGAAAAGAACACATACACCAGCTCAATGTCCAAATATATACCTAAAGCCATGTTGACTTACCTTAGCAAAGATAACACACCAGCCATAGCAGCTCTGACTTTATGGAAGTTCACTTTCATTTTCCAGGCTCTGACTAAATTTTGTTGTGGCCAGACTCGTAAACTAAATGGGAATAAGATAGAAAACACTACCATCATATGCTTGAGGTCTGAAATGTTGTCAATGATTTTTATAATTATTTCTAGAAGTGGTATCATTTTTATTTAACATCATTTAATATAGTTCATTCATACCTTGAAGAGATGAAAAAATTTTCAGTATTTTTCACTTGTCTTTCCCCACTCTAATATTCCTTACCATATGCACCAAACAACAAATGTGAGGGTATTTTTTTTCCAATTACTAAGTCAGTCCATTCAGTTATACATATGGAGATAGGACATGACCCCCAGCTGGAATTACTGACCTACTATACCCACTGAGTACAAGAGAACATTGATAATCAGTACTCTTATGCCTCCATTTTAAGAAGTGAACTAATGGGGATGTTATAGCTCCCAGGTTATAAATGTCTTGGCTCTGTTCTACTAAGTCCTAAAAATGTTTGCTTATGGCTGGGCGAGATGGCTTTTGCCTGTAATCCCAGCACTTTGGGAGGCCGAGGCAGGCAGATCGTCTGAGGCCAGGAGTTCGAAACCAGCCTGGCCAACTTGGTGAAACCCCGTCTCTACTAAAAATACAAAAATTAACCAGGCTATAATCTCAGCTGCTCTGGAGGCTGAGGCAGGAGAATCGCTTGAACCTGGGAGGCAGTGAGCCCAGATCACGCTGTTGCACTCCACCCTGGCAACAGAGAAAGAGTCCGTCTCAATTAAAAAAAAAAAAAAAAAAGTCTGCTTATTAGCCTTTACCTGGTACGCAGTTACCCAAGTAAATTGCCATATGTAACTTTGGGGGAACACTGAGGAATCATTAACCTATCAGTACATTTACTGTGATGTTGTAGGAACATTCCTCCTAGGGAGCCTGCTTATTCTTCAGTCAGTGGTTCTGCATTCTAGAAACTAAATCAGATCTGGAAACGGAGCAAGGAATTGTGTCTTTTTGCTGCAGTGGCTTTACTCAGCTTCTTGATTACCCATGCATTATTTCTTTTGGATGTAGAGACTGAGCAACACTCGTGTTGACTGCCCATCTAATCTGCGTCTATAGATGTCTGCTCCATTAACTATTTCTATAGCTCTCTGTGAGTTAGTCCACAGTCGACTCTTTGATCTTGCTAGTCATTACAATAAGTGCATCTACCTTGTTTCTTTGGGTAAATACTACCATCTTCATTTCGTTATTTTTAGTATTTTATAATATCCATTGCAACCAGAGATCCTATTTATGTAACATCTCTTACCACAAGCTCTATCTTACAAAGGACAGCCACCACTGAACTTCTCCATGATGTCAGTTCGTTTCTCAGTAGAGCTTTGGTAAATGAGTGTCCTCTAGTAACTCCCAGAGGACAAATCAGGTGGTGGCTTTTGTGGCCTTAACCATAACTACTGGTCTGCTGGCCAGGAGGGGATGAGCAGTGGATCTGAAGGAGAGATGTGTTGTCTTGTAAGTCACAAGCCTTGGTATTGTTTTCAGGTAAATGGGGTATTCACACCTTTAAGAGGGATACATGGGGCAACTTTTGCAAGCCCCAAAACTTACACTGATGTTGGTGTCATTGTTCCATATCTCAGGTTTCACATCTGACAGGGATCCGGATTGAGAATTAAAATATCTCAAGAACTGTGCTACTTTTACTATTAAGTAATGAGCTTAAGATTTTCTTTCTCCATAAAATCCCAAGATTTTTCTATCTTCTGCTTGAAGGAAATTAGAGTCTTTTTAATGCTGTCTAGGAGGCCTTCTACCTTTATTTGTTATTAAGAATTCCTGGCTTTTCATTTTATCTCTCAATATGTCAAATGTCCCAGTTCCATACTCATTATTACAATTGTCCTCATATTTATCAAATGCTGAAAATATTCTGCTTGTCAGTTCATTCTCTTCCACTTGATCTATTACCCCAGTTAACCTCCAGCTGAAGCTGTAAAGTTGCAGCATGGCAATCTGCTATGGGCTATTCATAATGAAAAATTTTAATATTTCCTTATGCTTCATTATGGACTATCACCAGTGGTAGGGCTCTGATTGCTGGTGAGCTGGTGGTTGGCACAGCTCGAAATTCCTCTTTTCAGGCCTTTCTTTAACTATTTCTGATTCCAGGTTTCTTAGGAAGCAGGGTCTTACTCAGAGATTTGCAAGTAGAAAGTTCATTAGGGAGTGCTCTTGAGATCAATGTGTTTAGGGAGGTAAAGGAAGCAGGACGGGGAAGAGTGTTAACTGGACTGTGATGAAGTTGAAACAAAGACCTCAGTTGATTACATGAGGTTGATATGAGGCTTATATGGCTGATATCGCTCTTTGAAGTCATCCTAAATTGGAGAAATGGGACAAAAGCTTTATCCCCCTGCATCTGCCAATTATAACTTTGAGTGAGACAGCTCTTTAGCCCAGTCCAAGTACCAGAAAAAGACTTAGCTAAAATCTATCAGCTACCATCACTCCTGAAGCTGTGGTGATGAGTGCTTCAATCTTGGGGAAGAAGTGCTGGAGAAACATGAAATCCCATAGGATCATAATCCATGGTTTTATTTTCTGTTTATTCTTTTTTCACTCTCTCTCTTTCTTTCTGTCTCTTGGTCTCTCTCTGTTACCCAAATGTGGTATTTGGGTAATTTTAAAATTATAAGACAATGTTATAGACTGAATATCTATGTCCACACAAAATTTATATGTTGAATTAAGCCCTAACCTCTACTGTGATGGTATTTGAAGATGAAACCTTTGAGAGTCAATTAAAATTAAATGAATTCATGAGGGTAATGCTTTCATGCGGGAATAATGGTCTCAGGAATAATGATCTCATAAGAGGCTTGCACCTACTGAGAAAAGACCATGTGAGGACCTAACAGGAAGTTGGCCACCTACCAACCAGGAAGAGGGCTCTCAGCATGAACTGAGTCACCTGGAGCCTCGAACTTCGACTTTCTTTCCTCCAAAACTATGAGAAAATAAATGTATTCTTTAAGCCATCCAATACATGTTATTTTGTTAATGGCAGCCCACACTAAGATAGTCAGTTTTAAGACTATGATATAAACATAGAGAAAGCAGTATGGACATATGGCAGTACAATTGTGAGACAAGCAAGGATGTTGGACAAAGAATGGAATATATCACTCACCATCCAAACAACCAATAGCACAAATTCCACTCACAGACTTCAGCCTCTTAGTATAATAGTATACTTGGATAACAGGCTGGCGTGCCATAACGCCCGGCTATTTTTTTGTATTTTTAGTAGAGATGGGGTTTCACCATGTTAGCCAGGATCGTCTTGATCTCCTGACCTTGTGATCGGCCCACCTCAACCTCCCCAGAGGGATGTTACCTCTGAGGAGGAGGTATACCTCTGAGGCAGGAGAATCGCTTGAACCCAGGAGGTGGAGGTTGCAGTGAGCCGAGGTAGTGCCACTGCACTCCAGTCTGGATGACAGAGTGAGACACGGTCTCAAAAAAAGAAAAAAAAGTATACTTGGGTGACAACTCTGAAAAAAATCTCAATATTTTATCATGTTTAAAATATTATCTTTATCTGGGAACAAGGAAGAAATCTGACTCATTTATGTAAATTATCATTGGAAGGCTAACTATCTGATGAACCTATGAAAATTGTTTTTTTAAATAACTAGAAAAAACCAATCTTCTATTTCTCTCTTCTGGTAAATTTAGTTTATATAGTTTATATATACTGCTGAATATAGTTTAAATATTCCCATCAAATTGTTTCTCATACTGAGAACAGAAGAGATCCCAATGTCAAATCTAATTTTAAAATTTAAAATATTTTTCTGCATTTATGACATGCGTCTGTAGTGTGACATATCTTCAGATGCCAGATGCCTTTTTATGATACTTTTTTTCAATCCCTTTGGCAAAATTCTGAACTCCATATCTTTGATATTTATGCATTTGCCTTTATCCTTGATCTTAATTTATGCTATAACTTGTTTATCTTTTCTACTTTCTCATTTTTCACTTTCATACTTCACAATTAATTAATTTCTGCTAAAAATGTTTCTTTACTGCTATGGCTCATATATTGATTTCAAAAGTGTTCATGAGATGGTCTCTATGATTGAAACAGAAATATATATTAAAGTAAGAAAAAACATTTTAGATTAGCCTTAATCTCTTAAGATTAACAAAATAGATGGTTATTTTTAAGTCCAGGCACCAGATTTGTCAGTAGGTGAGTCTTGAGATGATAACAATGCCCTGACATTGACTCAATTCTGCCTTGAATATCCTCTGGAGCTCCAGATATTTGTAGCAGACAAATGCAATCCAATGTTCATTTCTGAATCCCTAAATATTAGATTCATGACATAATAAAATATTGTTTTATGCTAATTTGCATCAAGGCATAATTAGGGTAGAAAAAATAAGATAAATGCTGTTTTCTCTGAGAGTAATAATTATGACAATAGCAAATATTTATTGAAGGTTTAATATGTATCAATCATTTTGCTAAGTATTTCTCATATACTGTCTTATTGAAGGTTTAATATATATCAATCATTTTGCTAAGTATTTCTCATATACTCTCTTACCTAATACGCAAACAACAATCTGATAAAATATTTTTATTTTTCTCACATTTGCTAGAGGAATAAACACGGACTTACAGAAGTTACATAGTGTACAAAGGTAAGTTAGGGCTTGATTGAAGAAACTAGAATCAGCTCTAATGAAATTAATTTAAAAGTCATTGCTGTGGCATTGTAAATGGCTTACAGAATTGTTAGCAGAGAAGCAGACAATCGGTGAAGTTTAAGGATGAATTCCATATGAAATGTCCCAAAACTGGGTTACAGTGTTTTCCCATGTTTCTTCCCTGACATGGAACTCATTCAATTAGGAAATAATTTTAGAGTTGATGGGTTTAAAACCTCACCACTTCTGCATGTAAAACAGAAGCTCATGCCTTGTTTCTCCTTACTTCAGATTCCTTTTGTTTAAGAGCACTTAAAGGTGAAACTTACATTCCATTCAGAATAATACATGCAAGAGAGTCTGTGGCATGTAAGTTTAGCAGCACACTAGAAGGAAGTTGAAACCAATGTTAGTAAACAATCATTCAGTATTCTCAACACTTATGAGTGACAAAACTAGGTTAAACTGCTTTTCTTTTCTAAGACCATTTCTGGATACATTTTATCTTTCTTTTTTATTCTCATGTTCTCTTGTGTGCATATTTGAGCATGTATGTCCCTCTGCTCTTCTTGAAAGACAAATTTGTTCCTTTCTTCCAATGCTTATCATTATCATCATCATCCAATATTAATATGACAAGGAAAAAGAAGAGATACCACAGCAGGCATCTCTTCAACTGAAAATGGAACACCAACCAGCCACCGAGAAACATGGGATCACAATAAATGATGAGCTTGAAGATGAGTACAAATAACCAAGATAAGACATTTTTATTCCTGAACTCCCTGGATAATGACAGGAAAAAATGTAAGCAAGAGTACAACATCTTGTTTTGTGAAGAAAAACATGTGGCAAAGCGCTAGAGCTTCAGAGCACTTCTGAGTTCATTTAGTTTTTTTTTTTTTTTTTTTTAATTTATTTTATTTTTTTTATTTTATTATTTTTTTTATTATACTTTAAGTTTTAGGGTACATGTGCACATTGTGCAGGTTAGTTACATATGTATACATGTGCCATGCTGGTGCGCTGCACCCACTAACTCATCATCTAGCATTAGGTATATCTCCCAATGCTATCCCTCCCCGCTCCCCCCATCCCACCACAGTCCCCAGAGTGTGATATTCCCCTTCCTGTGTCCATGTGATCTCATTGTTCAATTCCCACCTATGAGTGAGAATATGCGGAGTTCATTTAGTTTAATTCCACACATTATAAATGAGAAAACTGAGATGGAGCAAGGGAACACAATTTGACTCAAACTTGGAGACAGAGTCAGAAGTGAGATCTTCTGCTCCTTACACCAACTTTCTTTGCTTCTCCTAATCCCATTTCCTAAACTCGAATATAGCTATGAATCTTCAGAGATAGAGAAGGGTATTTTAATGCTAGCTTTGGGGAAGAAGGATAATAAGTTATTTCCATACAGGTAGCTAGTTTTAAAACCACCTTGTAGATTAAGAGTTACCCTGGTAATCTTTTATGTAAAAATTGACTCATTTACAATTTTTATACATTTTATACATTTTATAATATTTTACAGAGGCCTGCAGAAGAGTTTGTTCACAGCATGTTCAAGCCACCAGATCTTACCTGAAAAACTCCAGTGTCCTTACTAGCTAACTCTAAAGGAAATGATGCAGCTGTGTGGCTCTGTGCAAAGTGCCCATCTAGCTCATATTGGACTTCAAATTAAGGTCTCCAATCAAAAGAATCAACCTGTAACTATTTGCCCTCCTGTTAGCCAAATTTCTTTGCCATTGCTGAAGTTCACTTCTTTCATCTGGACACAACTGATTTTATATATTGTTTTCTTCTCTTTGCATATAAAAATACTTCAATCAAAGTGTGCAGTGTATAGGCAACACAAACAGGAGAATAGATAATAAAACATTTAAAGTCTTGCCATGTGGTTGTAGGAAAACTTCTTCAAACTTTTTCTGTTTAAGAAAAACATTTTCTGTTTAAGAAAATGTGCCCATGAAAATCTGACGGAAAGTCATAACAAATAACAAGGTAACCTACAAGCCAGTGAATGTTTTGCTATTATATTGACATGAAGATATTTGTGTTAAGATTTGCCTTTCACCTATTTGCCAGATGGAATGCCTTCATTGTTCCAAAATGCCATTAGCATCCATAAACAAATATGATATGAAAGATATTTGGATACATTTTTTGTAACTAATAACATAATTTTTTTCATGGAAGGAGCAGTTGCTATACTTCTCCATAAAGTTGTTTTAACTTCACACATGACAATTCTTAAATGAACTGTCATTATAGCAAAGCTTTCCATTGTAGAGAATAGTTGAGGATAATTCTCTTCATATGAACTTTACTAAAAATCAAAGAAACTAGATACAGTTTCCCCTTTCTGATTATTCTTCCAGTATATTAAGTAAAGCTCTTCACCTTTCTCCACCACATACTCCATTTATAAAATGCCAGCTACTCTTTTAGCCATCTTTCTGTAAGGTTTTAACGTGGCCATAACTGACCCAATATCATAGTACCTGTTCAAGGAAAACAGCAAAACACGAAAAACAAAAAGGGCAACAAGAGGTAAAACAATGACATGTTAGATCTATCTTGTTCTAAATAACCTATTTGACAGTTTGGGCCAATATTAATATTTTTCAGTGAATTTGTGGATTTGACAGATTATTTTTGCAAATCAAGGAAACAAAAATGATACAACTCTAGTGATGTAAAGTCAACTAAATGATACCCCACGACAAGCATGAGACACTAAACATTCAGCAGAAAATCAATTAAGACCTCAAAGTCATACAACTGTTGACCATTTGTATGTCTTTTTTCATAAATGTTTATTCAGATAATTTGTCCACTTTTTGATCGGATTATTGGGGTTTTCTTGCTGCTGAGTTATTTGAGTTCCTTGTCTCTTTGGAATATTGGTCCCTTAGATGAATAGTTTGTAAATATTTTCTCCTATTCCACAGATTTTGTCTCTTCACTCTGTTAATTGTTGGGAATGTAAATTAGTATAGCCATTACGGAAAACAGTACGAGGGTTCCTCAAAAAACTAACAATAGAATCATTATACAATCTGGTAACCCCACTACTGGATATTTATCCAAAAGAAAGGAAATCAGTATACCAAATGAATAACTGTACCTCCATGGTAATTGTAACACTATTTACAATGGCCAAAATATGAATCAACCTATGTGTCCATTAGCAAATGAGTGAATAAAGAAAGGTGGTATATATACACAATGGAATACTATTCATTCACAAAAAAGAAGGAAATGTCATTTGCAACAACATGGATGGAACTATAATCATTATGTTAAGCGAAAGAAGCCAGGCACAGAAAGACAAATATTGTGTATTCTTATCCTTAAGTGAGAGCTAAAAAAAAAAAAAGTGAATCTCATGGAGGTGGAGAGTAGAATGATAGTTACTGGAGGCTGTGAAGGATGTGTGAGGGCGTATGAAGAGGTTGCTAATGGGTACAAACATACAGTTAGACAGATGGAGTAAATTCTAGTGTTTGATGGTGCGGTTGGGTGACTTTAGTTAACAATTTATTGTATATTTCAAAATAACTGGAAGAAAAAATTTGAAATATTTCCAACACAAAGAAATGATAAATATCCTAAATACCCTGATTTGATCATTACACATTGTATTCATGTACCCAAATACCACAAGTGCCCCATAAATATCTATAATATGTATAATAATATCAGTAACATTGTTAAAGAACTCTTCAAAATCAGTTGTTTGATTCTATAACAAATATCTAGTCATATGTAGAAGCTGTAAAATTAGAGCTCCTTTCTGATTAAGGGAGTGTGCTTTTACATTCCAAGGAAGGATAAGAAGAGAAGTTGTCCTTTAACAGTGATAGTAATTTAGGCAATTATTTAATATCCCTGAGGCTACTCTCCTTTTGAGAGGTTATTGTGATTAAAAAACACTAGATGTTGTATGAAAAACACCTTAATGTTGGCTACCACACAGTAGGACATAATTGTAATTCCATTATAAGTATTATTTTTAAATATCTAGAAAAGATACAAAAATAAATGATCCATTGATTTACTCCAGAAGATGAGTATCAAATCTCCACATATCTAAAAACAAAAAAGAATTTGTCAAAAATATACAAGCATACCAAAAAAAGCATCTCTTAAAAAAAGTTGTTTCAGTTAATGCCTTTCTTATAACCTTCACTGGGAAATTATAATCACATGTAAACCTCAAGCATAAATAAACCTATTGTTTCCCAGAATTACCTTAACTTCTCAAGGACCAGTATAAAAATATATATATATATATATATATATATATATATATATATATATATATATAATCACTGATATACATAAAGTCAGATAATTTTCTATCAGGTATAAAAGAGAAAATATAGTTTATGGTAGAGAGGTTAGGAGGAGATGATGAAATTTCTCTCTATTGACAATGCCTAAATTTGTGGAGTCAAAGCTTAGTTGATGGAACTAAAGAAATAGCGTTTTTCTCTTCTAAAGGGATAAATTATTCTAGATGCTTGTCATTTCCTTTTACAAGTGTGCTGGAGAACTTCCAAAGGCATATGATTAAACTGCTACAAGGTCTTAAAAAAAAGAAAAAGAAAAAGAAAGACAAAGAAAATGAAACTCAGTAAAAAAGGGGAAGAGTTCACAATGCATTTGCTTCTTTGGTATATCTGAGTAAAAGGAAAAAAAAGTTTGCCTCAGTTGCATTTAGGCAAGGGGTTCAACATATCCAGAAAATAAATTAGAGATCTAGAGAAAGGTGTTCAAAATTGTGTAGAAATTCACAAATTTTGTAGAAGTCAGGTAAAAGAAAAATTATTGATTGCAGTGATATAATCTTTGTGTTTTCCATAATAGAGTCTTATGCTATAATCTATGTTAACCCAAAATAAACATTGCAATTGGTTTGGGCCATAGGCAAATGGAGAATATAATCACTTCTGTAAGGAACAGCCCAGTTTGTTGATCTTGGATCAGTTATCCAACATACTTTGGAGCCCTCAAGGTTTGCCAAGTCTTCG
This sequence comes from Homo sapiens, assembly GCF_000001405.40. NCBI lineage: Eukaryota > Metazoa > Chordata > Mammalia > Primates > Hominidae > Homo > Homo sapiens. Next base: position 48,611,519 of record NC_000006.12, read on the forward strand.
TCATTCTATAAATCTCTTCATTCCTTTTGTGAGGGAGAATATAAGGAGCTTTAATCCTGCTACCCAGTGATTCAGTTATCATTTTTGCTGTGGTTCACTCATTGACCTTCAACCTAGTTCCTGCACCTAAATCCTTACCTCGTTTCTCACTGCCAGAAATTCAACCGCTGGCTATATCTGCACACCTGTTTTGGTTCTAAGTCCTGTTTTAAGCCGTTGCCTCCAAATCTTTGTGCCAGTCTTTTCAAATGTTTGCTGAAAGCCTGAGTTGGCTTATGTCTTTTTCCAATGAATAAAATCTCCACTAATGCAGCACACACTGGTGTCCTTTGATGTCTCAAATATAATCTATATTCATTTAGTTATATATCACCATAAACATTACTCCATAGGGAAAATTTTTAAATGAATGAATTGGTGTAATTTACCAATGATCTTCAACCCTAAATCAAAGATTCAAAAACATCTGAATCAAAATGTAATTGATGTTAATTGCTTATTAATGTAAAATAAGATGATATTCACATTACTTTGTTGCACATGATATGGATTCTAATACAAACACATACCTCTCTCTCCTTCTCTTTATCTCTCCTCTTCATCCTCTTGATCCTCTTATCTTCCTTGTCCTTCTTTTCTCCCTCCTCCTCCTTTTCCTTCTTCTTGTAAAGCAAAAGATGTAGAAATTCATAGGACTTAAGATAGCTGGATGGTTAATCATTTCACAAAAGCAAATCACATGATGTCATAAAAAAACAAACAAACAAAAAACATGGGATCTGGGTTCAGGCTGACCCAGATTTAAATCTTAGATGAGTTTTTATCATATTTTGGAAAGTATATGATATTTCCTAGCTATTTTGCTTGCTTGTGAAATGGACATAAGCATATCTACCACTCAGGGATTTTGCAAAAATCAAATTAAGTAGTAGGCAAAATATGCATAACTTTGCAACTGTCACAAAGTAGATACTCAGCTAATTTTTATAATCCCCCTCTCCAAATTTCCTTTTCTTCAATAATTAATTAGATATGGTAATAAATCAATATCTGCACTTCCTTAATTTATGCTACTCAGTTGGCATTCATATTTTCTTATAGACTCAAATACACATATGTTGACAAATATATGCAGAAAAATTTATTACTATATTTCTGTATATTGTTAAGTATGTTATCTGATGGTACAGGGAACTATTTAGCTTTCAGGCAATAAAAATGTATAAAACAGATAGTCCCCTACACTCTCTCCCAATAAACAATACATACCATCATATGAACAATGTTCTCAGAAAAAGTTTTGGATATCTTATTTATGTATTATGTGAGATCAGTAGTGTATAGTGCTTATTGTACACAAGGTCCTCTATTTCTTGTAGTTGTTTTGTATTCTACTAGTAATGTTAATCCATAATGGCTGACTAACAATGTAGAAATGATAATGTTAAAGAAAAAAATTCCAAAGAATGAAAAGTTTAGTCAGCTGAATGTTTTTTAAAAAACGAGATTTAGAGCTTCTCAATGTGACTTCAATAAAATATCTAAAAACTTAGAGGACAAAAATCATCAGACTGGTTGAGATGGTTGAAGGTCCTTTCCAAAAACTTAGAGGACAAAAATCATCAGACTGATTGAGATGGTTGAAAGTCCTTTGATGCCATGAAGGTTAGAACGCACATCACTGAAATCCATTAGAATAGATCAGCTCTTCAACAATGCTAGTTGGAAGGACCTACAGCCAAGTAATATCACGAATCCACAGAATTAGAAGAGTGGAGACACTTCTAATTTTTAGTGCTGGAAATACATCTTAAAAATGAGAATTATGAAACAACTCTATGTATTCGTGATGTATTTAATGCACCATTTTCTGGAATGCATCCCATTTTATATCACAGTCTTAAAATTAGAAAGAAACTTGGAGGACATCCAGACAAACTTGCAACCCGATGGAGAAATTCTTTTCCCCTACATCGTTGAAAAACAATTCTTCATTTCCTGTTTGAAAGATTTTAATGTTAAAGAGCTAACTTCTTCTCACATTAACCTCTGGAATTGTATAGATTAGGATATCAGAAGAAAAGAAACAATACATTCATAAAGGTCTAACTAAGTGAGTTTAATGAAGGTGTTAGTTACAGAGGCATGGGTACTGTTACTAGGATTATTAAGTGATAGAGAGAGGCCCAGTGGTGAGTAATAGTAGGAAAACTTTGCCACATCTGGCCACCAGGGTTAGATGTCCTTCTTGTCCTTGTCCCTAGCCAAGGACATCTCTTATAGTTGTTTTGTACTCTACTACATTATGCACTCTGTAAATATTTTCGACTTTGAGTATCATGTCATTTGCTGATTCCCAAGTTATTGTGCTTCACTTCTTGATAACAGCTTTAGCTGTTGGCTCTTTGTTATTTTTTCTGAGTTTGTAGAGGCGGCTTCTCACCACTGGCCTCTCAGTTTTTTGAAATTCTCTTCTCCAAAGATTCTGTCTTCCTTCTTCTTCATCCACTCACTCTCATTGTCATTCTAGTCCTTGGCACTAAAAATAACCATAACCTCTCCATTCCCTCAGTTTTACTAACCACCAATTCTTATTTTTCAAAGTCACGGTTTGAATCAACTTAAATTGTATTGTTCCAAACTGGGGATTCCTTTATCTATTACTACAGATGAGTAGTTTGCACTCTCTAAAACTAATCCGTGAATTATCTTTCTAAAATGTAAGGTAGAATGTGTTATTCGTCTGCCTAAAATCTTACAGTGGTTCCTGATATCATTCAGAGTAAATATCAAGTCCTTACAATGGATCAAAATGTGTTAGATGGTTTCATTGCCTGATATTTTGCTCAAGTCCTCACAGGCTACTGTCCGCTTACTTTTTCCACATGAGACACATCAGCCATCATGGAATTCCTTGAACACCTTGAGCACACTCTTAAAGATATTTACACCCACTGTTCCTTCTTCCGCTCTTCCTGGAACATTCTTTTCCCGCATGCCCGCATGCCTCTCTCCCTTACCCCTTTCAAATCTCTGTTTAAATGTCACTTTTTCAATGGGGTTTACCTAATCCCTATTTAAAATGTTATCTTGTCCCAATGAACTTACATTCCTCAGCTTCCTTAGCCTTCTCTACTCTTTCTTTCACCCAGCAACTATATAACATACTGTAAAACTGACATTTCGGCTGAGCACAGTGGCTGTTGCCTGTAATCCCAGCACTTTGCGAGGCCGAGGCGGGCAGACCACGCGGTCAAGAGATAGAGACCATCCTGGCCAACACGTTGAAACCCCGTCTCTACTAAAAATACAAATTTAGCTGGGTGTGGTGGCGCATGCCTGTAGTCCCAGCTACTCGGGAGGCTGAGGCAGGAGGATTGCTTGAACTCAGGAGTTGGAGGTTGCAGTGAGCTGAGATCACACCACTGCACTCCAGGCTGGCAACAAGAGCAAGAATCCGTCTAAAAAAAAAAATCCATTTCATTGTATGTTATGTATGTATAGTACATTTAGTATGCTCTTTATTGGCTATCTCCCCTTCTTGAAAGAAAGATCTATGAGGACAAAAACTGCTGTGTTTTATTTACTGATACAATTCAAAAACATAGAGTTGCGTCCACAAAGGAGGGACTCAATATTTGTTGAATGAGTATGTGGCTGTTGGAATATGTATGAATAAATTACTCTCAAAGAATCCTCTAACTTTCATGACTCAGTGGGAGGTACTAAGGAGAGGGCTGGCTTGTCTTGGGAGTAGGCAGAGAGGAACTTGCTTACAGAGTTTGAAGTACAGAACCTTAGACAGACTACGTATCTCTAAGATCTTGAAGACTTGGTCCAAGGGTTTTCTGTGTATGTAAATATTTCCAGAAATCTCAGCTTGCTAAAATTGGAGATTCCTAAGAAATACTTCTTACCTATTCAAGCAAAGTACCTAAGTTGGGGCCCAGAAACTGCACTTTAGTGATCCTTTTTAGGGACATTTATATATAATAATCTCTTAGAAATATAGCCTCAACTCTTTACAAGTAATACCTCACTGGAAAAATATATATTTTAAATGACAGTTTGAGGAAAAATGTAGAAGGGACGGCTGTTTAGGTGTGGGGCGATGAAAAGAAAAGAAAACGAACAAGGGAAAATGTTTGGTCTCAAAAGAGAATAGAGAGTCAGAACAAGAAAGAAATTATTTTACAGGTTTGTTCCACCCCCGCCCAGAGGGATGAGTACAATGTAAAAGAGGTTGGAATTTGGGAGAAAATTAGAATCTTGTAAACAATCATCCTCTATACTAAGTTCTATCCATTTTTCACATAGTATTAGGACTTAAACATACTGATTTTTCACATCTTGCAGGAGACGTGGAAAAACTTAAATCGCTTCTAGTGTTTCTATACATATTAGAAATGTAGTTATAATGTAAATAACAGCTGAGAGTTCAATGAAAGGTCAAATAATTATTTTTCCTATTGCTCTGACTAAATCACATAGACACACTCATATGTACAGCAGCATCCCTGGGGATTACTACTATAAATGACTATTATATTATTGCCTTGAATTACCCTTTCAAAACCACACAAATCCCAAGCACTTTCCACGTTAAAGATCATAAAACTCACCCATTTTAACTGATAACCATTTAGCATAGGAGGCTCTAAATAAGATTGATATCTCACAGGTTGGCAAGTCAGGTAAGAAATTTCTCACTGAATACACACAGGCCATGTAGAGTTAACAAAAAAAATTCTTTTGAAATTTTAAAATGTATTATATTTTATTCTATCAGGATTAGATATTAGTTAACAGTTTAGTAGAGAATAAGTTATTAGGTAATTTGATGGCATAGAAACATATCAAAAAGAATTGTTTCAGCTTTTGGAACATAAATTGAGAACTGGGGTATTAAAAAGAAAATATTTTAAATGCCTTTGTAGCAAATGTAGCAATATTGTTCATTGATAATGTGATTCTTGTTAAAATAACAAACATTCTGTGTTTTGCCAATTGCAAGTGGTTCTGAACTTTACAGACTTTCATTTTACATGCAGGGGTACATGTGAAGGTTTGTTCCATAAGTAAACTTATGTCGTGGAGGTTTGTTGTACAGATTATTTCATCATCCTGGAATTAAGTCCAGTAGCCAATAGTTATCTTTTCTGCTTTTTTCTCTCATCCCACCATCATCACTCAAGTAGGCACCAGGGTCTGTTGTTTCCTCCTTTGTGTTCATAAGTTCTCATCATTTACCTCATACTTATAAGTGAGAATATGGGGTATTTGGTTTTCCGTTCCTGTATTAGTAGGCTGAAGATAACAGCCCTCTAGCTCCATTCATGTTTTCACAAAAGACATGATCGTGTTCTTTTTTATGGCTGCATAGTATTCTACATATATATGTGCCACATTTTCTTTATCCAATCTGTCATTGATGGGCATTTAGGTTGAATCCATGTCTTTGCTACTGTGAATAGTGCTGCAATGAACATTCGCATGTATGTGTCTTTATAGTAGATTGACTTATATTCCTCTGGGTGTATATCCAGTAATGGGATTGCTGGGACAAATGATAGTTCTGCTTTTAGCTCTTTGAGGAATCACTGTAATGCTTTCCACAATGGTTGAACTGATCTACACTTCCACCAACAGTGTATAAATGTTTCCCTTTCTCCACAACCTCACCAGCATCTGTTGTTTTTTGACTTTTTAATAATAACCATTCTGACTGGTATGAGATGGTAATTTTATTTTGATTTGCATTTCTCTAATAATCAGTGATGTTGAGCATTTTTCATATGCTCCTTGGCTGCAAGTATGACTTCTTTTGAGAAATGTCGGTTCATGTCCTTTGCCCACTTTTTACTAGGGTTTTTGTCTTGTACATTTGTTTAAATTTCTTATAGATGCTGGATATTAGAGCTTTGTCAGATGTATACTGTATACAAATTTTCTCCCATTCTGTAGGTTGTCTGTTTACTCTGTTGATAGCTTCTTTTGTTGTGCAGAAGCTCTTAAGTTTAATTAGATCCCACTTGTCAATTTTTGCTTTTGTTGCAATTGCTTTTGGCATCTTTGTCATAAAATCTTTGTCCATTCCTATGTCCAGGATTGTACTGTCTAGGTTGTCTTCCAGGGTTGTTATAGTTTTGAGTTTTGCGTTTAAGTCTTTAATTTATTTTGAGTTGAATTTTGTATATGGTGTAAGGAAGGGGTCCAGCTTCAGTCTTCTGCATATAGCTGCCTCATTATCCCTGCACCATCTATTGAATAGGGCATCTTTTCCACATTGCTTGATTTTGTCAGCTTTGTTGAATACCAGGTGGTTGTAGGTGTGTGGCTTTATTTCTGGGTTCTCTATTCTGTTTCATTGATCTGTGTGTCCATTTGTACCAGTAGCATGCTGTTTTGGTTACTGTAGCCCTGCAGTATAGTTTAAAATCGAGTAATATGATGCCTCCAGCTGTGTTCTTTTTGCTTTGGATTGCTTTATCTATTCAGACTTTTTTTTTTGGTTCCATATAAATTTTAAAATAGTTTTTTCTAGTTCTGTGAAGAATGCCATTGATAGTTTGATAGGAATAGCATTGTATCTTTACATTGCTTTGATCAGTATGGATATTTTAATTATATTGATTCTTCCTCTCCATGAGCATGGGATGTTTTTCCATTTGTTACTGTCTCCTCTGATTTTTTTGAGCAGTTATTTTGTAGTTCTCACTGTAGAGCTCTTTTGCCTCCCTGGTTAGCTATATTCATAGGTATTTTATTCCTTTTGTGGCAATTGATAATAGGATTGTCTTTCTGATTTGGCTCTCGTCTTGGCTGTTTTTGGTTTATAGAAATGCTAGTAACCTTTGTACATTAATTTTATTTTATTTTTTTAAAAAAAAGCTTCCAGCTTTTGCCCATTTGGTATAATGTTGGCTGTAGGTTTGTCATAGATGGCTTTTATTACTTAGGGACACAATAACAAAACAAGAAAACTTCAAGCCAATATCCTTGATGAACACTGATGCAAAACTCCTCAGCAAAATACTTGCCAACTGAACTCAGCAGCACATCAAAAAGCGAATCCACCACAATCAAGTAGGCTCCATCTCCAGGATGCAAAGTTGGTTTAACATATGTAAATCAATAAATGTGATTCATCATATAAACAGAATTAAAGACAAAAGCTGCATGATTATCTCAATAGATGCAGAAAAGTCTTCCAATAAAATTCAACATCGCTTAATGTTAAAAGTGCTCAAAAAACTATGTATTGAAGGAACATACCACAAATATATATATATATACACATACACATATATATATACACACACACATATATATATACACATATATATATATACACACGTATATATATATTTGATATGGAGTCTCACTCTGTCACCCAGGCCGGAGTGCAGTGGCGTGATCTCAACTCACTGCAAGCTCCACCTCCCAGGTTCCCGCCATTCTCCTGCCTCAGCCTCCCAAGTAGCTGGAACTACAGGTGCCCGCCACCAAGCCTGGCTAATTTTCTTTGTATTTTTAGTAGAGACGGAGTTTCACCGTGTTAGCCAGGGTGGTCTCGATCGCCTGACCTCTTGATCCGCCTGCCTCGGCCTCTCAAAGTGCTGGGATTACAGGCGTGAGCCACTGCGCCTGGCCAAAAATATTTTTTTAAATGTTATCTTCTGTCCTTTAGTCAAAACTCAGCATTTCACACTTGAAAAAAAACAGTGAATCTTCACATGGCCTCTGAAGATACAGCAGAAAAGGTATTATGAGCAGTCTAATATGAAGGTTATGAAACTACTTTTCAGCTGCCATCCTGGTAAACTCAAGACAGTGCTGACTTTTTTTTTTTTTTTTTTTTTTTTTTTTTTGAGGCAGAGCCTTGCCCTGTCACCCAGTCTGGAGTGCAGTTGCACGATCTCAGCTCGGTGCAATCTCTGCCTCCTGGGTTTAAGCAATTCTCCTGCCTCAGCCTCCTGAGTAGCTGGGATTACAGACGCCCACCACCACGCCTGACTAATTATTGTATTTTTGGGAAAGACGTGGTTTCACCATGTTGGCCAAGCTGTTCTCAAAATCCTGACCTTGTGATCTGCCCCTCTCGGCCTCCCGAAGTGCCGGGATTAGGTGTGAACCACCGCACCTGGCCTTGATTTTTTTTTTTTTTTTTTTTGCCACAAATCAAATGGCAAAATAAGCAATAGACAGAAAACAATAGAAGAGGATAGAAACCGTTGTATCTAAATCAAGGACTCCCAGATATGTTCAAAAAGTGTTTGAATCACTTTATTTTTTGTAAGTTAGAAATTAATGTTTCATGTTCTCTTATAATATTTCTAAGTATATCTTACAACATATTCTTCTGTCACAGCCAGCATGATTCTTTTAATCAGATCTCTCTTTGTCATTGTGTTGCTATGCCAAAGGATAGAACGCACACAGAGGGGTCACATGAGGCCTCTTTTCAACAAGTGCTAATTAATAAGCAAGTCAAGACAGAGCCTCAAAAGACAAAGTGCTGAAGCTAAGATCGCTCAGCAAAAAATGAAAACATACTCTTTAGATTTGAAAGTAAGGATGGCTTGCGGGATTTGTTTATTTCTTTGCCACATAAAGAAAGTTTAAAATTAAGGACATTGTCATACAGTAAGGGACCTTGACCCCTGTCTTTCCTTTAATGTTGCTAGGTTCAGTGTTCTTGTCAGTAAAATTAAAGGAATTAACCCAATACATGACTCTTATCTATGTTGACAGAGTCCTAGAAAGTCACAGGGGCAGTTGGGGACCAGTGATGAGAAGGATTGTGAATAAAAAAGAAACCAAGGATTTTGTTTTCCTTCTCTTTCTTTCTCTCTCTCTCTTTAGCTATTACCCTTTTTGAACTTCAAACAATATTTTAAAATTTTTAGTTGAATATTTTAAATAAAATATATTATATATACAGTTAAGCACACAGAGCTTAAGCATCAGATTGACTAATTTTCACAAAATAAACACAACATGATACTCATTTAGACTTCCAAAATCTCTCATAAAAGTAGCCCTATCATTAATTTCCCACAGAGTAAGCACTATATACTGAATTTTATCACCATAAACTAGATTTTTCTATTTTTGAATTTGATAAACATTGACTCATACTATATGTGCTTTTTGTGCCTGTCTTTGTTCAATCAATAATATGACTTATCCACGTTGCTCCATGAAGATTTATCCACGTTGCTTCATGAAGCTATAGTTGGATTTTTATTATGTATTAACCCATTGTATGAATATACCAAAATCTATTTTTTGCTAACACATTTAAGTACATTTGGATAATTTTACATTTTCCACTTTTACACAAAATGTTGCTAGAAATCTTGTGTACATGTCTATTGGTATCAGTAGGTTCATCTTACTATCAGCGATAGGAATGAGTGGAATTACCAGATATATCTTTAGCCGTGGACAGTCCTAACAGTGTTCCAAAGTGTTTGTACAAATGCACACACCACTTGTCAGTGTATGAAAATTCCAATTACTCCATGAATTTACAAATATATGGTACTATCATTTTTAAAAATTTTAGGTATTTTGAGGGAATTATATTGGTATTTTATTGTGGTTTTAGTGTGAATTTCCTTAATGACTAATTTTATTGAGCTATATATATGTGTATATATATATACACACATATATATACATACATATATATACATATATACATACATATATACATATACACATACATACATATATACATATATACATACATATATACATATATACATACATATATACATATACATACATACATATATACATATATATACATACATATATATATATATATATTTACCTATGCCTCATTTCTACTTAGTTATCTGCATTTGTGAAGAGACTATTCAGATTTTTTGATGTTTTTAATTGGACTCCTTGTTACTAGTGATTTGTAGGAATTCTTTCTATATTATTCCATAAATAGGACCACAGAACCTATAAACATTGAAGGGATACTGAGTGGATATTTTGAACAACTTTATGGAAGTAATTTTTTTACAAAAATAGTGCACTTAAAAATATTATATATATAATTCCAATGTTTTATATATGTATATAATTCCAATGTTATATATATTGCATATATATATATAACATATATATATATATATATATATATATATATATAATGTTGCAAATATCTTCTTCACTCAGTGGCCTCTGTTTCTCATCTTATTTTTTTTGAGAAATAGAATATTTACATATCAACCTGTACCTATATTGCTAATGCTTTTGTTTCTCATTTAAGAAATATGAACTTCCACAAGATCATAAAGATAATCTGTTAATAGTCTTCTAATTTTTAATGTTTTTCTTGTGACATTTAGATATATTATTCTCTTGAAGTTGAAGTAATTACTTTGACATGGAGAACAAACTTAAAAAAAATGTTGCTAGACACTTTAGCAAGCAACATTTATTGGAAGACTTACCTTTTTCCCCACAGAATAGCAATGGCACTTTACCATAGATGAGATGACCATATACGTGTGCTTTTGTTTCTGGGCTTCCTATACTTTTCCACTGGTCTATCTGTCTGTATTTTTATAAAAGTCTTTATATATCAAGTCCTGATATATTCTTCTTCAAGAATGTTGTAGCTATTCCTGGTCCTTTGTCTTTCCACATAAAATTTAAAAGTTGCTTTACCCACCAGAAAATGTTGGAGTGTAATTAGCCTTGCATTGACACTTTTGATCAATTTAAGGAAAAAATTATATCGTTATAATTCTGAGTCATTCAGTTTATGGCCATGGCATGTTGTTACATTTATTTAGATTTTACTTCATTATTTCAGCCATATTTTGTGGTTTTTTAGTTTTTGAAGCCTTAGAATCTTTTTATTTATTTCAATGATTATAAGACAATTTCGATGGTAGAAATTTTAACTTTATTTTCTAATTTGTTTTTGACTTTATCTAAAACTATAGAGTTTTGATTTAGTTTGTTTTAGATATCTTGTTAAATTCCTCTATCAATTCTATTAGTTTGAACCACATGAGATTGTTGTTATGGTAAGTAAAAATGTTAAAATATCAGCATTTTAATGTGGTTGAACGTAACAGTTTATCTCTAGTGTCTTGATTTCCTATGTACACAACTAAGCCATCTGTATTAGTCCTTTTTCATGCTGCTATGAAGAACTACCCATGACTGAGTAATTTATGAAGGAAAGAGGTTTAATTGGCTCACAGTTCCATAGGGCTGGGAAGGCCTCAGAAAACTTACAATCATGGTGGGAGGTGAAGCAAACAGGTCCTTCTTCACATGGCAGCAGCAGGGAGATGTGCAGAGTGAAGGGGGTGAAAAGCCCACTATAAAACCATCAGATTTTGTGAAAACTCAATATCATGACAACAGCATGGAGATAACTGCCCCCATGATTCAATTACCTCCAACCAAGTCCCTCCCATGACATATAGGGATTATAGGCACTACAAGATGAGATTTGGATGGGGACACAGCCAAATCACATCACCATCTGTCGCTTAATACAATTTTATTTCTTACATCTCAATACTTATCTTTTAAACATTTATTTTTGTTGCCTTATTGTAGTATGTGCGACCTCTAGCCATATGTTGGGTACAACAGGTGACAGCAGATATCCATGTTTCATTCTCAATATAAGGAAAAACACTGTAACTATTTCACTAAAAAATATTACATTTCCTGTACATTTTAAAATATATCTTTTATCAGATTAAGGAAAGCTCATTTTATTCCTACTTTACTAAAATATTTTTTAAAATCATGGATATATGTTAAATATTATGAAATGCTTACATTATGCTTTTTAAATAATATCATTTTCTGCTTTATTTTGTTAATATGGTAAATTAATTATATTGTTTTGATAATTACATAAAACATAAGCTCTTAGAATAAATAAATTTTATATTATCTATATTTTATATATTTCTAGATTTGTTTTGCTACAATATTGTTTACAATTTTTGTGCTTATGTTTACAAGAGGGATTTTGTTATTATTTAACTTTTGTGTGAAGTCCTTGCCAGTCTTTGAAATCGAGGTTATTCTGAACTAATAACATGGAGAGAAGGCATCACCAATTACCAATTGGTATTTAACAATGTCAGATATAAGCATTCAGGAACACAAAACCTATAAACATTGAAGGGATACTGAGTGGATATTTTGGACAACTTTATGGAGATAATTTATTTACAAAAATAATGCACTTGAAAAAATACAACTTCCTGATATTGACATAAGAAGAATTAGAAAACTTGGATAATCCTATATTTATTAATAATGTTGAAACGATAATAGCCCTCCTACAAAGAAAAGTTCAGGAATGGTAGACATCAAGAATGAATTGTTTCAAACACTTCAGAGAGAAGTAATGCCAATATTGCACTAACATTTCCAAAGAATAAATAATTAATTGAGTATACTAGACATTAAGGAGACAGAAACATCAACGATAACAGAAATTACAAGGCTTTAAGCTTGGAAATGAACGGAAGGAAATAGCATACACTGTGTTCACATTTAAAGTTTATTATTTAACAGTCATGCCAAGTTAGAAAAATGAAATCTTGCGTGTCAATAAGTATATATACTAATTGTGAATAATGGCTTTTCTGTATTCTAATAGTCAGTTGATTTATAAAAATAGTAGGTCAATTTCAAAGACCATCCAGCATTCATTTAGATATTTCCTCTCAGCTTCAAACTTACCCATCCATTATCTGATTGATAATGTTGGGGCTTGAAATCTGGAAACTAAATTTTTATTTTCCAGCTGGCTCTTAGTTAGACTCTGCCATTAGTGAGAACTAGAGAAATCCTGCAAGTCTGTAGGAGAAAGAAGGTACATGCCCCTTCCTGTTTTTTTCTGCCTGTTTATATTCTTTTTCTTTGAAAGTAACCCTGTCAAGTCTTCTTAATCCTGACAGTGGTAATTCTGTCCGGTTGCAGCAGAATTCATTTTTCCATTTTCCCAATGTTTTCAGAAAAGATTTAACTTTACTCACCTGAGAGATACTAACATTGTCAATTATCACTCCTCAGAGGTTCAAGTCCAAGCCCCACAGGGCACTTCCTCTGAATTTCTAAGTTTTAATATATCCAGCCTCTACCCTTTGTAACCTAGCTATAGAGAACTTACCTCTTGCGATTGCTATCTCAGGTATAACTTAGAGTTCTTGTTTTATCTTTTATAACTTGACATCTCAATACCTACTGAACAATTCCTTATATTAATTCTCTCTGTTCAAACAATAAGTTGGCTTCTATCCCCTGGATGATCCTGAATGACAGCCCTGCAAAAGGCAAACATACAATGAAGAGGAGATACGCTGGGCTGTGAAATTGTAAAACTAAAGCATGGGATAGATATGTGATAGAAATTAAACAAACCAAACCATATAACTGAAGGAAGTTCAAATAAAATTTTTAAAAGCACACGTGTGAAATAGATATTGCAGAATAAGAGAAAGGAAAGATTGTAAATGTGTGTGCGTGTGTGTGTGTGTGTGTGTGTGTGTGAGAGAGAGAGAGAGAGAGAGAACTGTTTCCACTTCAGCTAACTACTATTATCTTTCAAATGCTTATAATTTAAAGGGCTATTGTGCTCAAAAAGAGTCGGATACTTACAAGAAAGGAAAATGTAACCTAGTTCATTTTTATTTAATTTTCTCTATCAATACAAAAATCCATGGGAGTTATGATTTACTGGAAGTGATATCTCATTTTAAGTAATCAGCCCTCTCTTCAGGATATAATATGTCGTATGCTATCAAAGCAATTGTTCTCAATACGTACATCGCTATTCAACATCAATAAATGTCTTGGTAAAGAAACAGATGCATGAATTTACATTTATTTTTAAGCGCAAATAAATCAATGACTATCCTCTGATGAAGTCTACCAACTTTACTGGCAAAGGCATTACTACTTTCTTTGGCTTTTATATTATGCCATATTTCCTATTGCACTATTGGCTTCTCTGTGAATTTGAATGGCACATTTACTTAATTAGGAAAGCTCTAACCAATGAATTTTAAGAAAAATTTTTTAATAAACAAATAAATAAATGCCTACAATGACAACAAGTCAACTTTAAAATAGGTTTTTTCAGGATACTGACAATGTATTTTAGACAATTTTTGTTTAATTAAAGATAAATTACTATAGCCTTTATTTTTTTATTTTGAAGCTGCATGTGTTTGTTTCTACCTGGCTTTTTCTCACCTTTCACATCATCCTTCTATCTCGGGTAGAATTTGATGATGGTAATTGTGTTAGTCATCAATGTATTTACTCAACTCAAAATTCACCTTTCATTGCCTGCTCTGCAAAAGTTGAAATGGGCCAGTTATATATTTAACCTTTGCTGTTGTCATGATGTTAAGTTTTGCCACTAGAAGGTCCTGAAATAGAAACTATGAGAGGAATAAGCTCTTCTTCTTATTCCCAGCAATTTCTGTTTGATTCTTCACATGATTGTCAGTAGTATGTGAATGATGTAAGGTAGCGGGGAGGTACCAGTGGACTCTACCCTCATTAAGTATTAGCAGTAGCCGACAGCTTCCCACTTGGGATTGAGTGATTTGCCACAAGTGAATTATTATTAAGGCTTATGAGTGTCAGTGGTTGGTTCCCAGCCTCGTCTTACCAGCAACCCAAAGAAGTATTTTATTTGCCAGCACTGACCAGGATTTTCTCTTCTATACCCTGAAGGGGTTTTTCTTACTTACCCAATAACTAGGAACAAGATCTGACCTGAGTTACCCTGCCACCTTCTCTGCCATACAGTAGTCTGCAATCATACCTTCACCAATGAGGTCTGAATCCAAGCCTTGAGATTTATCTCTTTGGTACACAGCACTCTTTACTCCTTTACATCAAATTCCATTATAGTTAACAATTCTTTATTTTAAATACTCCCTTTTCAACTTATTGTGTGATTTCTGTCTCCTGATTGGATCCTAACTGATAAAGGAATGAACAGATTTTCAAATATTTTCCAAATCCTCTCCATTACTAAATGGAAATTTTATAAATGAATCACATTGACCTGGGAAGTTTGTCTCTTAATACCTTCTTCTTCTGAAATAACATTCCAAAGAGATTCATCAAGCAATGACAACACAGAAAGAACAAGTAATTATCTAGCTAATGGTCAGAATAATTACATTTATAATTGAACTGAAAGAAGTTTAAAATTGGACTCTATCTTTAGATTTAGAATGTAAGACAAAGTACACACCACCTGAAATTTTAAATAGTCATAAGGGATGGGTGATTTCTCAGCCTAAGGAAAATTATAACTTTCATAAGCATTGACCAAATAGTAAATTGTAGAGGTTGGTTAATGGGCCATTATATTTTTGCCATTTTCTTGATAGTACGATTTTATCACATAGGTTGGGCAGTACCATTAAGTAAATTATCTATCATATTATCTATGGAAAAATGATTCTTCTTTTGGAAATGGGTCCCCAAGGAAATTTCACATATGCAATCTTCTTATTTTTTAGGTGAAAAGTCAACAGAAAGATTGCTGACTTTTTGATGCGTAGAAAAATAATATTACATGTCAACCAAGACTTATCAAAATGATGTGCATACTTTGTGGATACAAAGTAAGAATAACATTGGTGTTAATAAAAACAGAAAAAAACATCACTGCAGTGTATCTCCCAAATTCTCTCTCTCTCTTTCTTTCTTTTTTTTCTCTTTGTAGCTAAAATTCTGGGAACTGAGAAGTCAGTTTGTAGACTTCTAGGAAAAAAAATATTTCTCTGATAAGGCAACCCTCATACCTCCTGTTAATTTCTTTTCCCCCTGGAAAAACAGCAGAGGCTAGAAGGAAAACCCAATCTAATGTTTGAAGAGAAAGTTAAGGGGCCATATGGCATGGATTAACTTGTGCAGTTGTGAATTTAGCCAAGGACCACTTACTTCTGGAGTTCTGGTTAGCTCAAGGTATTTGCTTTGTTTCTGTTACATGCAGCCTGGGACAATATAGAGTTATCAAATATCATAACTGAAAAATCATTGCAAATTCTACAGTATACATCAGTGTTTTCTTCATACTTGTTTGCGTATTAGAAGCACCTGAGGAGTTTAAAAAATAACAACAGCAGCAACTAATCTATAGATCTAAGCCACATTTTGTAAATTAGCTGTGACAGAGCCGATTAATGAAAAGCTTTCCAGGTAATCTAATATTCAGTCAGTATATAGCCTCGCTGGTATTATATTCTGCATATATCCTTGTGGCCTGATGGGGATTATGGCTGTTTCTGTATCAGGTTGAATTTCAGAGAGATTAGGGTGCATAAATGCATCATTTTGCATAAGTTTCTTTGCAATATAATTTTAAAACCTTAGTATTGTATATATGAGTCTAAATTTAAAAAAAGCAAGTACATTGATTTGTGGAGAATATATGGTCACACTCTTTAATAATCTACTATCTCATCTTTTTGTTTATCAGGAAGGTTATTTTTTCACAATGATGTAGAGACAAGCCTCTGGTTTGTTTATTACGGGTCCTAAATCCATGGCAGTGGAGGAAAAGTATTCCTATAATGAAAGTGCCAGCCTCTGAATTGTTTTCCTGTGGTTTCTGGATTTGAAGTCACATAATAGTGACTTCATTGTTAAATTAATAATATTGAATTTTCTAACATACAAGGAGCACATACCTCCTGGTAGATAGCTGAATGTATTTACTACATTGAGGAGATGAAAAGATGCTTTCTTTGAGTGACTGTGGCTGGCTTACTCTACATTATTTTTCCATGAATTTTTGGTCCACACGTGAGATTAACTATCCTGATTTAAGCTGCTTTGAGGATCTTTCCTCAAAATCATTCGCAATTCAAATGATTCTTTGAAGCCCTGGGAGAGCTGGTTGTGGGCAATAACAGCTAAAGGGTGAGAATCCAGACTAGTCATGAAAAACAAAAAAATAACTCAAAGCAGTCTGAGCTATGTGAGGCATGCAGAATTTATCAGACCCAGAGAGACATAGCATGAGACTTCAATTATGTCTCCTGCAGCCAAGCCCAGAGGTAATTGTTTAAAGGCATTTTGTTTTTTCTTCTTTTCCCTGTAGTTTCCAGACTAGCTTATACGTTACATAATTGTTATCACAAGTTGCACAGTGTGATCCTTATTCATTATCATCCGGTTCCTAAAATTTTTAACACAAAGAACGATGTATAGCTAATTAATAGCTAATGTTATGAATACCTTCAGCTAATATGCTATAAGTTAATACTGTGCACCGATCTAATAACAAGCTAATATTTTGCATTAACCCTGATAACATAATCTAATACTTTAATTAACCAATGTAAATTATGTAAATTATTAATAAATAACTTCAAAATTGCCTCATTCTTTTTTTCCTTTAAAAACCCACCAGTAACTGCTGGTAATCAGTGTATATTTTCAGGGCAACTTGAACCTATGTCTAATGGGTTGCAGTTTTCAAATTTGGCTGAAATAAAATCTCTAGTTATATTATTAATTTTGCCTCAGTTTCCTCTTTTAAGTTGACAAAAAAGTTAGACTCTAGCATCTTGATATTCAAAGATAATGTTATTTAAACATAAGAAAACAAAACTAGACTGACTTTTGCATCATTGGAACAGCTTTACAGAAATTATTAATATTTCATTCTGTTTTATGGTTGAATAGTATTCCATTGAATATATATACCACATTTTCCTCATTCATTCACATATACAGAAACATTTAGGTTAATTTCATACCTTGCCTATTGTGAAAAGCACAGGAATAAAATGGGATTGCAGATGTCACTTCAGCATATCACATTTACTTTCTTTGCATATAATGAGATTGCCGCATCATACAATCATTCTATTTTTGAGGACTGTCCATACTGTTTTCCATAATGGCTGTAATAATTTACATTTCTCCTAACAGTGTATAAGCATTCTCCTTTCTGTGTGTCCACGCAAGCATTTGTTATTTCTTTTTGTCTTAAACCTGTCATTTTCAGCAATATGAATAAACCTGAAGGACATTATGTTGAGTGAAACAAGCCAGGCACAGAAAGACAAACACCATATTATATGTGGTATCTTAAAAAGTTGATTTTGGCCAGAAGCAGTGGCTCATACCTGTTCTCTCACCACTTTGGGAGGCCAAGGTGGGAGGAACACTTGGCCCAGGAGTTGGAGACCTTCCTGTGCAATATATGAAGACCCCATCTCTACAAAAAAAAATAAAAATTAGATTAGCTTTGGTGGTGTGTACCTGTTGTCCCAGCTACTCGAGGTGGAAGATTTGCTTGAGCCCAGGAGGTTGAGGCTGCAGTGAGCTGTGATTGTGCCACTGCACTCTAGCTTGCATGAAAAAGCAAGACCCTGTCTCAAAAAATAAATAAAAACTAAAAATAAATAAAATTAAAAAGTTGAAATCATAGAAGTGCAGAGTAAAAGAGTGGTTACCAGAGGCTTGAGAGTGTAAGAGGGTTGGGGCACTAAAAAGAGTTCATCAACCAGTACAATGTCACAGTTAGGAAGAATAAATTCTGGTGTTCTATTACACAGTAGAGTGACTACAGCAAATAACAGTGTAGTATATATTTGAAAATAGCTAGAAAAGAAGATTTTGAATGTTGTTGCCAGAAAGAAATGATAAATATTTAAAAGAATAAATATGGTAATTACCTCAATGTGATCAATTATGCAATGTATACATGCATTGAAACATCACCCTGTACTCCATAAATATGTCCAATTATTGCATATCAATTATATATAAATACAAAATTAATTGATAAAAATATACTATTAAAACTGGCTTACAAAGTTCACAGTTTGGTAATGTGAAATTAAATAGGGCAAACCTAAGGCTGTTGGAATTTTACATTATTTAAGCCTTGAGAGTAACGTGACTATGTGGCCTGAGTCAAGTAGCATGCAGCTACAACTTCTGCTTCTCTGATTATATATTAAATCTCTTCCTTATTATTGTCTTATAAATGATTGGGAAGGACTAAATGGCCATTAACTTTCCTTAGGGAATGTTAAGTAATCTTCCTTGGAATGTAGCAAGTTGTAACAAATAAAATAATTGTAAAGTATGTACTGACCTTATATGGAAAATGTTGTCACCCTGTTAAACTTCCCTGTTTCTGCCTATGTAAGTGAAACCTTAGCTTCTTCACTTTGGAAACTTGATCCCATTTACTTGCAGCCTGTGTTTCCTGGGTGACTATCCTCAAGCTTTTGGCTTGAATAAACTCTATACTTAATCATATTTTCTGAATCTCGTTATTTTAGTTTGATAGTAAATAGTTCTAATAAAGAAGATCACAATTATAAAACAAAGAAAAGAGAAAAAAAGTTTTTGTAACATATAGGTTTAGCCAAAGTCAACAAAACTATCAATACATATGAGAAGAATGTCATCAGTCATGTAATGTCAAATTACATTGATATTTTATTGTCAATTTAATTGTTTTGAAAAATGAACTCATCTATTTGGTAGACATTCAGTTTACGGGGTCCTTGCTTTGACAGTTAGAAAAGCAGACATTCTACTTTGTATTTGAATAGAAGTTTCAATGTATCAGATTATAGTTATACTATATGAAGGATTCTGAAAGTACTACAGCATATCTGGACAGATCAACAGAGTCATTTCAACTAATCTATTACAAGGCCATCACAATAGCCTCCTGAAACACAGAATATTTATCAGAACTGGTGGTACAAACTCATTCATAGAAGGCTTGAGTAATTTATCTCTTTCTCTTGTACACATGGATCTAAACCTGAGCCAAGGTGGTACCCTGAAAGAAAGGTAGTCATGAAAAACAGGGAAGGGAGTAAAGGGGAAAGAATAGGTTCAGGCAGAGGTTGAGGAACATTAGAGTTTTCCTGAACAAGGGAGTGTTCACATAAGCATTCACCATTTGGTAGAGAGAAATTAAAGACACCAACTTAGAAAATGCACTTCCAAGGAGCAAGATTCTCAGATAATCAAGGCAGTGGAATTGTGGTTGGATTTGTGAAAAATGAAAGATACTGAATGACATAAGTTGGGACTCAGAAATATGGAGTGAGGTTTGAAGAGGAGGGAGAGAACAAAGGGTAAGAATACTCTTCTAAGTGAGTGACATGAAGCTGCAGGAGATGAAGGTATTTTCATCGAAACCCCTAAGGGGATGGGGTAAAAATGAGAGTACTGGGTAAATGAAGGTATGAGGAAATGAATACTGGGAAGAATATCAAAAGGAATTATATTATCAAGACCTTTTGATAAAGAAAGGTCTTCTGTATTGGGAAAGACCATCCATTTGAGTAGATCATACATCAGAAGTTTAGAGATAGAAAGAGCAACTGCTTAATGGGCTAGAACAGCTGAGCCAACCCTGGTTATCCCTGAGGAAGGCAGAGAAAAGGAAAATAACTAACAAATGTCTTTTCCAAGTTAATGGCCTTCACTGAGAGACTGGAGCTTGCATTGTGTTTTATATAACTTACCTTGATGAATACACACATGCTAATAGAATAGGCATTATTATTGCCATTTTACCCATCAGGAAACTATATTTCTCGCATGCTATAGTGATTTCCCAATAAATTCATACTATGAAGATACCAAATATGGGGTCTAAACCAAATATTTCTCATTCAGATATCCACATTAACTTTCTACATAGCTCTTTCTACCCAAGTTGGCTTATCTTACTACTTGGCTGAGGGCTGACTTTGTCTTGAATCAAAAAATCCATTCTACAAGAAATTTTGTTACCACATTCATATGTATGCAAACCCAGGGAGCAGGAGTAGTGAGCAGCTGAGGGAGCTTTATTAAAGCATAAGTAGGTTGAATTTGGAAAATTAATTATTCTCCTATGCCCCAAAACTATGACAGTTTTCATAGCCTTGTCAACCCAGTACTTCACAGATATTAAAATTGGCCTTCAGGTGCAAGCCAAAATTATCTTTAAGTAAAATTAGTAATATGCCATCTCTGATTCTTCAGGTTCATGACAATCAGATATATCACCACTAAGAGCCCCGTTGCGTATGGCAAAGATAGAGGAGGAGTTCTATCACCTTAAAATTATATATGAACTGAGATTCTCTTTTTAAATAATCAAAAACAAAAAAATCTCCCCTACTATTTAGTTTAATGGCAATCCAATTAATATAGAAAAGCATTACCACTTAAAATATACTAAGTTGAATGTCTACAAAAGTAAAAAAATAAATAAATTTTAGACAAAGCTTTCCAGTTATACAAATTTGAGCAATGTCTTAAATGAAAAGAACAGATATATAGTAGGAAATGGGGAAAAAACCTAAAATTCATAGTTTCACTGGAGAAATAATGGTGCTTTTAAAAATCTGAAATACTGGAGCAAAGCACACATTTTGCGTGAAAATAGAAAACATGTAACATTTCCTACAAATGCTTTATCTTTTATCATTCTGACTATGACTGTGATAAATGACTTTTCTACAGAGTATGAAACAACTCACCCCATACTAGGATAATGGAAAGTGATTCTTTCACACCTTAGTCCTTAAAATAGATTGTTTATATGTGGATTTTCAGAGTCTGCCTATTGATAAGGACTAACCTTGAGTAAACCAGAGACTTCATGCAACTAGGGAAAGATGGAAGTCTGGGCCGGACTGTCTTCCCACTGAAGACTTCTTCCTTGAGAACAAGGTCCCAAACCAGTGGTTCTCAAGTCACAGTGTTCTTTTACTAGGCCAACAGAGTATTTTCAGAAAAGTATAAATTTCAATATCTAAAGTAATCAAAGCATACCCTTTCCAATTTCCCAAGTTCTTTACCACTCTGATTTAAAAATGTATTTTACATGCTTGATTCCTAAAGGTATTTGAATTTCAGCCCTTGCATTTACATAAGACAGAAAATATTTAAAGTTATAGAATCATCTGTCAACAGTGTAAAACTCTGAATATGTCTAGTGCCAGTAGGGGTATTAGAAAGTATCCAGTGACATAGCTGCTGGTAGGACTACAGATTTATAAAACACTTTTTGAAGGGACAAGTAGATTGGCAATGTATTAATCAGAAAGTGAAATACTTTTAATTCTACCTCAGGACTCAGAGAAATGTTTAGATTTAAGAATATTCATTGCAACCTCATTAATCATAGAAAATATTGAAATTGACTTCAATAACCATCTCTGAGAGACTGATTAAATAACTATAATAGGGTTATATTGTAGGGAATCATGCAACCATTAAAAAGAACATGAACCTAAGTGTGCTTTTTGGAAAATGCTCCAAGATGCAAAGTTGCAATAAAAAACCATTTCAGACTAAGTATATAATATGAGCCTATTCATTTAAAATATGCATGTATGTGTATTTATATGTATGTGAATGTATATACATAGAACATTAACTGGAGAACTAGTGTGACGTATTCCAAACTCTTAAGTCTTATGTATAAACTGGGGAGTGACGTAAAGGAACATTTTCCATATTTAGTCTGAGGATTCAATATCCTTGAAATATTTATAATGATAATTTACTTGTATATTGATTATAGAAAAGTAATGATAATGATAGGAATATAAACTATAAGAGGGAGAACAGTAAATGTAATTATTAATTTCCATCATAATGTGCCCGCCTTATACTAGAGTACTGTCTCCAGGTGTCCACTCCAACTTCTGCATTCCTGAAAAGTTAACTCTTCATTTCATCTGTCTTTCAGACTTTAACACAGTTTTTTCTGCTTGGATACTATCAGCTATATCCCATAAGATAGTACATACTGTGTTTTACATCATAACTATCTTCTGTATGAGGCTGAAAGTTCAACAAAGTCTGAAACCATACCTTTGTGGTTTTCTCATCATTTCCTCGAGACAATAGGGTCCTGGGATGACTGTGTCCTGTTTAGCAGAAGGAACTGTAATGCACACTGAATACACCAGTGAGCTCTATTACTGAGGTAGGAAGGGTCAGTGGGGCATTCTGCCTTTAAGATAACAGGTGAGCTTACTTGTTAGCCAATGGATGCATTCTAGCTGGTAGGAACCTCAATGTGTTTGTTGAATGAGTCATTGCATCAGTTAATTCATGAATATATTAATCTTACCTGGTTTCTTCTTCTTTTTTTTTTTTTTTTTTTTTTTTTTTGCAATTGAAGACAAACTCCTCCTGGAAAGGAATATGTAAAATTGTGGGAGAAAATATGAGTTTTGAAAATAAATAGAAGAGCAATGATTTAACCAGTATAACAAGCTTAGATGAAAAAATTCTTGGACCTTAATTATTTCAAATTACGAACTTCAAATAATTTATAACCCTTTCATGTATGTATTCAAGTGTAATTAAATAATCATTCATTCATGTATTCATTAATACTCATTTAAAGTTTTTCAGATGATGAAGCCTGTAGATAGAGAAAATAATTAAGGCAGTCTGGGATTCAAAGTGGTGCTTCCCTTTTAGGTCATGTATCCGTTTCCTAAGAGGGAAAGAGGAAGCTGGAACATCTTGTCACAACCTTGGAGTTCAATTGATCTCATTTATATTCCAGTGGTTATATTGTTTATATTCACATACTAGTTGCACTAAGTAATTTCATTTAGCACCCCATTCCATCCTAAAATGTGTTGTACTCTGCAAAACCTATTTTTAATTATTCTAAATATTATATATTTTATTACTGTTTATTTCAAAATTCTGGCAGAAAATTTTTTTTATTGCAGCTTTCCTGACATTCAGGCACCTGTTCTGTGTTCTTATAGGGTTTGACTATCAAATTATATCTAATCATTCCTGTGGTTTCTTTTTATTCACCACTTCCACAAATGTGGCCTGACTGACAAGTATGGTCAGCCATTCTCATGAAAGCAGATTATCCATGGAACTTTTTCTGCCTCCTAATAGAGCTCATCTAGGTCTCCAGCATGCCTCCAGCTCTTTTGCTAAATAGGACATAGTAACTAAGGATCTAGTGTTGTCATCATTAGCATGCATGTCCAAAAGTTGTCTTATTGCAGCTTCTCATAATCTGCATTAAAATATATATAAACAGCCGTTTCCACTATGGTTTTACAGACAAAACCATATCTATCACTAATTTTTCTTTGAATTGATGGTGGTGATAATCTAGACTTAGTTTATCTATGTACCTATCTAGTGTAATCTATGACTTAGTTTATAGAGTTTTCTCATTTAGTTGACTGACAGAATCCAAATTTGAAGCTGAAAACAAAAAAATGTGAAAATTCTACTGAGATAGTATAAAAGTTTTGCAAATATGAATTACTGCCAACTCATAAAAAGAAAAAGAAAAACAGCCCAACTTTAATAATAATAAAAAAATAAAAGATAAAGTCATGGGGAGATAAAATGTAACTTCTTTAACAGTGAAGGTACAACCTATGTCAGTGCTGTAAAATTTCCTTTATCCAAAAGAAAAAATAATTAACAGCTTATAGGATTCAAAAGTTTATGTGATCTCTTTTACTGAGAAATAAAACAAACCTGCAATGTAATAAATTATATCAGAATAGACTGTTAATGTTGATTGAACGTATTATAACATTTAAAACATTTTCTTCATTACTTTAATAAATGATAGATACACGAATGTAAAGAAAGCATCGAATTGGTTCTGAAAAAACATCTTCCTTTTCATTGTGAGAGTTCAATAAACAAAGAGGAAACAGAGGGAAAATATGAATTGGTGAATGTATTATCAGCCTATTCTTTTCTTAATGTTATAATCTTTTTTGGTCATGTAAACAAATGGAAACTTATCTGGACTAAAATCGTACCAAGAACTGTACTTTGTAACTGCATATATTGGTGTGAATAGTATTTTTCTGCATGAATGTCCTAGTGTAGGTTTTAAATAAAGTTGAGATAAACAGAATAAAATATTGTGTGATAATCAAGCCCATCTTTTGCTTTTGGAAATAAAACTGCGCTGTAATTTAGAATGGCCCTAGATCAACTAATCATGTATTTCCAGGATATTTATTTTCCAATTTAAAAAAATATACTTTGGATTGATTTTAGGTTTAAAAACAGGAATCTAGAGGAAATAAGTATACTGTGAAACTACTTATTAATGAACATATGGATTAAACATATGGCCAAATGTGGGAAGTACAATCGATAAAACTAACCTCTTCATAGGAACTCTAGCAGAATACAGAAATTTTGTATTTCTCAAACTTTTTAAAGCCCAAATAATTTCAGTCCAAATATTATCTAGGAAAAAAGTTTGTAGATAACATTCTGTGAAAATTTTGGAATATACTTGTAATATGTATTACTTGAGGAGAAAGGTATTTAAGATCAAATATATTTGGATAAAACTGAGTTAAAGAAAGATAAACGGAGGAGTGTGTGTGTGTGTGTGTGTGTGTGTGTGTGTGTGTGTGTGTGTTCTTTCTTCAGGACTTATCAGCACCCTTAATGTGTTAGTTATGGATCATGTACTTCTTAGGAAGGAATAAGGTCAACAATATTTTTCCATAGTATCTGATAACAGAACCTCTTTTTCAAGAAAATATTTGATAACACTTGCATTTGAACAAGTATATTTTAAAAAATACTGATCCAAATGAATAGTGAACTTTTCTACTCCCTTTCTGTATTTTAATTACTTCTTGATTTGAGAAAGATTCTAAAAGGCAATTGATTCTTTGATTAGGAGTTTGGCATTATGAAGCATTCCACAAATCATTAAGTTTCTCATGTTCATTTGAAATATGGAGACAAGTGATGAAGTGACTTACCTAATACTATAAATAAATTAAATATTCTTATATTCTAAAATGAATACTCTTTCATATTTTCAGTATTTTTTTGGAAAAGCAGTATACAAACCATAACTATGAAAAACTGGTAAATATTTTACTCATTTAGTTTTTGTTTAGCTTTTATATTTCTTATGCACAGCTTTTATTTTTATTTTTTGCTACATTGAAGATAGCACAGTATATAATGGCACAGATAGAGTTTTGGACTAATACAGAAATTTAAATCATTTCCGTTGAAAACCTGTGCAAGTCAAGGATGCCCTCTCTCACCACTCCTACTCAATATAGTATTGGAAGTCCTGGCCAAAGCAATTAGGCAAGAGAAAGAAATAAAGGGCATCCAAATAGAAAGAGAGGAAGTCAAACTATCCTTGTTTGCAGGTGGCATGATTCTATATCTAGAAAACCCCACTGTCTCAACCCAAAAGCTTATTAAGCTGGTAAACAACTTCAGCAAAGTCTCAGGATAGAAAATCAAAGTGCAAAAATTACTGGCATTCCTAAACACCAACAGTAGTCAAGCTGAGAGCTAAATCAGGAATGAACTCCCATTCACAATTGCCACAACAAGAATAAAATACCGGGGAATACTGCTAACTAGGGAGATGAAAGATCTCTACAGTGAGAACCACAAATCACCGCTCAAAGAAATCAGAGAAGGCACCAACAAATGGAAAAACATTCCATCCTCATGGATAGAAAGAATCAATATCATGAAAATGGACACAGTGCCCAAAGTTATTTATAGATTCAATGCTATCCAAATTAAACTACCATTGAGGTTCTTCACAGAGATAGAAAAAAACATTTTAAAATCCTATGGATCCCAAAAGAGTTCAAATAGCCAAGGCAACCCTATATAAACAGAATAAAGCTGGGCGCATCACACTCCCCAACATCAAACTATATTACAGGGCAACAGTAACCAAAACAGCATGGTGCTGGAACTAACACAGGCACATAGACCAATGAAACAGAACAGAGAACCCCAAAATAAGGCCATACACTTATACCTATCTGATCTTTGACAAAGCTGACGAAAATAATCAATGGGGAAAGGACTCCCTATTCAATAAATGGTGCTGAGATAACTGGCTAGCCATATGCAGAAGATTAAAACTGGATCCCTTCCTTACACCATACACAAAAATTAACTCAAGATGGATTAAAGACTTAAATGTGAAACCCAAAACTATAAAAACCCTGGAAGACAACATAGGCAGTACCATTCAGGACATAGGCATAGGTAAATATTTCATGATGAAAATGCCAAAAGCAATTGCAGTAAAAGCAAAAATTAACAAATGAAATCTAATTAAATTAAAAAGCTTTTGCACAACAAAAGAAATTATTGACAGAGTAAATAGACAATCTACAGAATGGGATGGGAGAAAACTTTTGCAAACTATGCATTCAACAAAGGTCTAATATCCAGCATCTGTGAGGAACTTAACCAAATTTACAAGCAAAAAACAACCCCTTTAAAAAGTGAACAAAGGATGTGAGCAAACATTTTTCAAAAGAAGACAGACATAGAGCCAACAATAATATGAAGAAAAGCTCGACATCACTGATCATTAGAGAAATGCAAATCAAAACCACAGTGAGATACCATCTCACACCAGTCAGAATGGCTATTAATAAAAAGGAAAAACAAACAAAAAACAGATGCTGCCAAGGTTGTAGAGAAAAAGGAATGCTTATAAACTGTTGCTGCTGGGAGTATAAATTAGTTCAGCCTTTGTGGAAGACAGTGTGGCAATTCCTCAAAGATCTAAAAACAGAAACACCATTCAACCCAGGAATCTCATTACTGGGCATACACCTAAAAGAATGTAAACTCTTCTGTTATAAAGACAGACGCACACCTATGTTCATTGCAGCACTATTCATAATAGCAAAGACATGAAATCAACCTAAATGTCCATGACTGATAGGCTGGATAAAGAAAATGTGATACATACACACTGTAAAATACTATAAATCCACAAAGAAGAACAAGATCATGTCCCTTGCAAGAATATGGATAAGCTTGAGGCCGTTATCCTTAGCAAACTAACGCAGAAACAGAAAGCCAAATACCACATGTTCTCACTTAAAAGTGGGAGCTAAATGATGAGAACACATGGACACAGAGGGGAACAACATATACTGGGGCCTAATGGAAGGTGGCAGGTGGGAGGAAGGAGAGGATTAGGAAAAATAATTAATGGGTACTATGCTTAATACTTGGGTGATAAAATAATCTGTACAGCAAATCCCCATGACACAAGTTTACCTATGAAACAAACCTGCACATGTACCCCTGAACTTAAAAGTTAAAAGAAAAAGAAAATATTCACATATTTTAGGGACCCAAATATGTAACCACATTTGGAGTTTGCTTCAATATTTAATCTGTACAAATATAATAAACTATTTTCTATTAAAATAAGATTTTATAACTTTTTCACTGCACTGTAGCTAAAAATCAACTAATTTGACAATTGATACGTGGAGAAAATTGGTATGTGGAGAGGTGGAAAAAAAATTAGTGATGAGACCCATCAAGTGCAAAAATTTTCTAATAAATCTGCATATATGCCACCTGTGCCAAGGAAGCACCTAAATCAAATTTAATAATTGGAACTACAATACAGAAGTCAGCTACTCTAGAAGATATTTGTCTTTTCCAGCTGGAAAATGGTACATTTTTACTCTAAAAGAAGAAAAGGGCTTTTCAGCAGAACCTGCTTATTAGGAAATATGCAAAAATCATATCTTACATGCTTGACTGGATGTATTTTTTTTTACCTTTGCCAAATCAGCATCTCTGGCAAAAAATGCTTCTCAAGGTTTGAATCAATATGGAATAATAAATCAGCCACAGTTTGAGGTTATTTTTCCCTATTACTTATGGAAAAGACCTAAGAAATTATGGTGTTGGCTGGGAGCGGTGGCTCACGCCTGTAATCCAGCACTTTGGGAGGCCAAGACAGGTGAATCATGTGAGTTCAGGAGTTCGAGACCAGCCTGGACAACACGGTGAAATTTTGTCTGTAATAAAAATACAAAAATTAACCGGGCATGATGGTGGGCGCTTCTCAGAAGGTTGACACAGGAAAATCTCTTTAACCCGGGAGGCAGAGGTTGTACCACTGCACACCAGCCTGGGTGACAGAGCGAGATTTTGTCAAAAAAAAAAAAAAAGAGAGAGAGAGAGAGAGAAATTATGGTGTCCAAGCTTTTTGCTTTAAAGATCAGCAAGTTGAAACCAGAGAATTCCAAATTTAGATTTAGGCATAAAATTTAGGTTATCTGACTGCCAAGCTATTGCATTTCCCACTATTACAGTTGGGAATAATAAATATCTAATTCCTTGATACATTTAATATTGCATATTTCACAGATTTTACAACTGAAGGCTCTGTGTCTTACTAACCAGGGACTGAAATCACTGAACTTGAAAGGACAAGCACCGAGTAGGTCTAGAGATTGAGTAATTGCATCCCAATCACTCCGACTTCATCAGCTGGTAAATATTAACACACACCCTCACCACCAGATTAATGGGAAATCCAGGCATTTCCAGGGATTTCTCTTCCAAATATTTTCAAAAACATGAAGTTTAAAACTACAACTAGAAGCTGCCACAGGCCACAGCGTTTATGCTCCTTAACCAGTGAAAATTTCCCGGCTGATTCTTCAGTATGTGATTTGCTCAGAATCAGAGCTGCCATCTACAGGTCCACAGTCTTTCTGAGAGTAGAGATCTCAGGCCATTGACTGTGCTACAACATTGATTCTACCATAATCCACCGAATTCCATACCGTGAACAAGATTCTGCTATTTCTACTAACAACCTCTCTCTACATCTGTGGTATTTCCCCTCTCCAGCCAGTTGTGAATTGATTTTTATTTCTTGTGTCTAGCTCTTCCAGTGCAATATTTTAGAAAGAGTACATTGATTTTTACCATGATCATCTTTCCTCAGGAGTGCACAGGCATAAGGATTGTCATCACGGATCTCACTCAGGCTCTGTTAGTATCTATTCATTCCAAGCATGCTCTGAAGCAAAGCCTGACCAACCATTCTAGAATTATTCTTCACTCACAGTGATTTTTCTTTCAAAAGACCTATTTTCTGTCCTTATAGTCTTTTTTTTATGGCACCAGTATTGTTTGCAGATTTTTAAAGGCCCAAATACAAGAAAACCCAAATTAAACTTAAACAAAAAGTGGAATTGATGTCTAACGAATTGATGAGTAGAGAAGTAGGTATAACATCACAAACAGCCTGGTTCAGGGACTCAAACCTAATTCGTTGCTGGGCTCCAATCCTTCTGGATTAACCACATTCTCATTCACTATCTCTATACTGTGGTCCCACAATAGCTCTGACTCACCTTGCTTGGCTGCAGTATTCTAAGCCTTGTATCTTTAGACTAACAGTTTGTTTCTACATTCCTGTCAGAGGAAGGTTTATTTTAATTGGATGAGTCAAAGTTATATATCCATTCTTGAACCAATTGCTATAAAATGGACACAGTTTGTTTAAGTCAACTAGAATCAACCTCAAAACTTGGAGAGGACATCACCCCCACTAAAATATAGACTGACACCTTTACTAAGACAATATAAACAATCTCAGCTCTAGACCAATCTCAGTTCTAGACCAATCTCAGTTCTAAATTTGACTCCACCTTTTGCTTTTCCTGACATCTAGCTCAATGTGACCCTATATTTAGGCCTGATTACTTCAAGATGGCAATGTAACATTACGTTATCATTCATAAATACTGGTCCTTAGGTGAAAGATACGACACAATTAGTAAGTGCTGTCTAGAAATTTTGATGAGACCAACTAAATGGGAAAAAAGCTTGAAAGGAATTTTACACACAGATATTCCCTTGTCATCACTAATGCAGGATACATAGATAAAATAAAGGTTTGGATATTATAACAGTTTTTTTCCTTCAAAGTGTTTTCCCCTGTTTTTGTGTCTAAGGATCTCTTATTCCCAAGGATATTTAATGAAAACTTGTATATTTAAATGATCAAAAAGAATATTCATACTAGATACATTTATCAATTCAATACAAAAGAGTCATTGTGAAGTAAAGAAAATAAGTTCAAGTGCTTAAGCCCTGGGTGAGAATCCTGTTTCTGCTATTTATTTCCCATTATGTCTCATCTCAGTTTCTTCATCTGCAAAATGGGGATGATTAACATGCATCTTATATGGTGTTGGTGAGGATTAAATAAGAGCATTTATATAAAGAAGCTGAGTGAACACCTGGTACATATTAGGTATGCAGTTAAGTATTAGTTTCCTCTCTTTCTATCACTCATTGGATATTTTTTCTTCATTAATGAATAATAAGGGATTGCAGAGAAGCTTAATATGCATGAATTCATTCCACACTTCAATAAAAACTATGAAATGTCATATTGGTCATCAGGTTCCCATGTCAAAGAAGACTCCTATGTCTTGGCTATTAAAATTAAAGATCATACATAAATAAGAAGAAATCTATGCTGAATTCAAACTTAAAAGGTAGGGATAGTGTGATATCAAAGAAAAATTCCACTGGATGGAGTTAAGCAGGAAAAGGAGATGCTATTCAAAACTGTTGACATAGGGGAGAGAGACTGAATTCAACTCCACAGAAACAAAAGATGGAAGCGTTTTTAAGAGCTGGAAAGAGCTGGTGGGAAAGTACTGGAGTATGCCATGAGGAGATTAGTTAAGGTTATTGAAATCTGCCCTGTTGTCCCATAGAACAGATGTTTATGGTTTCTTTGAATAAACATAGAAATTGATCCTTCCAGTCTTAAAACTTGAGAAAGTTACATTTGTCTTATCTGAGTTCCTTTCTCAGGAAACCAACCTTCAGGACTACCAGATAGTATAAAGGAACTTAAACTTACCAGATCACCACATCTGGACAATGAAATTCCAGACCACTCATTGCCTAACCAACCACCTGCTTCTTGTTGACAAACTTCTCTTCCTTACCCCTCCCTAATTCCTGTTTCCCTGCACATAGTTACATTTCTTCCCTGCTATATAAACCTCTAATTTTAGTCACTCAGGGAGATAAATTTGAAACTATTCGTCCTTCTCCTTGGCTGCAGCACCCAATTAAAGCCTTCTTCCCTGGCAATACTCATTGTCTCAGTGACTGGCTTTCTGTGTGGTGAACAAGACCCAGAAAGAACACTTGGCATTTTGGTAATATTATTAGATCATCATTGTTTGCTAACTGCTGCTTATCAAAGTTAGGCTCCTCACCTCCCACAGAGACTGGGAGATAGATTTTTTTCTTGACGATTATATTTCAAAGGGAAGGCAACCAGGCCTTTGAGAAAGACATTTGCTAGTTGTGAAACTAGCAAGAAGCTGGTAAAAGTTTTATATCTTAGGGGAAGAGAAATAATTTACAATTGCAAGTTTTTAAAGGTAAGCATCCTAAAAAAGGGGATATCAGAGGTCTATAGTTAGGAAGAAATCTGTCTAAAATGTAGTTAAGTGGAGGGAAACGTTAAGCCTGTCTTGGTCAGTGACACAGTGCAAGAGGAGTACGGCTTTGGTGACACTTGGGATTGAGCTTTTAGAGAGTATGAACCTACATAGTTTCTGTCTGAGATTTAATCCCTAGATCTTCCAAACAGATTTAAATCTACATTCATCACAAAGTTTTAGGATTATTGTATTTAAATGCTCTTCTCACCAAGAACAGAAGATGAACATATTTATTTACTAGGAAATTAAATTTCATTATGGTATTCAATTTAAAAATCTCATAACCAAAATAACTTATTTAATCATTGATTTTCTTTTAACTAAACATGTTTTTAGAATTCACAAGACACTATTCTGCCAGAAATCTAAACTAAAGGAGTCATTTTTTGTGTGTGTTCAGATACATTGAAAAGAGCACCTGGGTTTTCAAAAATAAAAAACCAAAGAGGGAGATGAAATATTTGAGTAAAAAATATGGTATTTTATCTCTTCTCTGTGAAAACTTCACAGAGATAAAGGGAAAGTCAATGACAGAGTCCACTTCCTTGTATTTTCCTTGGTTATATATGGTAATACACTAAAATAAAATCCTAGCAGTAAATTGGCTTGGAGCAGTTACTATGTTGGAAATTACTATTATACTTTTCCTCAAATAAACTGATAATTCAATTATTCAGTTTTCTATCTCCACAATTCTGCCTAAATACTTAGGTTCTTTATTAATACAACTGGCATATTTATAACTGTCATCTTTATTACAGAGTTAATAATCATTGAAGAATAAAAATAAAATGTAGACTGAAAAATAATAAACTAATTAGCTTTTCTTAAGGAGCTGATAATGTCCACAGAAGACATAAAGGAACTGTGACTTATGTACTTTATTAGTACTCCAGAAATGACCACATCTTTCTCCTTTCATCTATTGTAGCCTCTCCCTTTACTTTTTCTTGCCTTTCTTGCCAAACTACTCTATAGTTTTCTATCTCTCACATTTCCTCATTGTAGCCTATTTCCTTCTCTCTTGCCATATGTTTGCATATTTGTCATGCATCAATGAAAAAGATAATTTTGATAATGATGTAAGGAAATAAAAATAGCTTAACCCAAAAAACTGTAAAATAGTTTCAAATGAAGCAAAAGAATACCTGGCGTATTCTTTCATTGGAATGTTGGTGGTATTTAGTGGGGTATGTAATACCACAGGGGTATGCCCCTTTAATTATCTTTTTGACTGGCAATTTTACAACTTTATAAGTAGTCAAATAAAACAAAACAAAAATTAAGGTGGTTCCTTAACAAACTTAAGGTAGAATGACTGTATGATCCAGCAATTACACTTCTGAGTATATATCCAAAATAATTGAAAGTAGGTTCTCAAAAAGATATTTATATACCTGTGTTTGCAGTAATATTATTCATAAAAGCCATGAGGAAAAAGAAATCTAAGTATTCATTGATAAATGAACAGATAAATTGTGTCATATTATACTATATTATATTATACTATATTATGTTATTATTATATTACCTCATTCTGTGGTAACAAAATAGTATATATTGGATGGTTTAAACAACATAAATGTATTTTCTCACTGTTTTAGAGACCAGAAGTCCTCGACCAAGGTGCTGGCCTATTTGGTTACTGTTGAGGGCTTTCTTCCATTCTTATGGGCAGCCAATGTGTGTTCACGTGACTGGTTTCAATGTGCTTGGAAAGAAAAAGCGCCCTGATGTTCCTTCTTATAAGAATATCAGTCATATTGGTTTATTCCTTTATGACCTCATTAACCTTAATTACTTCATCATAGGCCCTATCTCCAAATACAGTCAAATTGGGAGTTAGGGTTTCAATACACAAATTTTGCAGACACAATTCAGTCCATAACAAGCATACTAATAACTCTGATTTAATCAGTATTTTCCTTATTACCTAATTTGCTGTTTTGTTTCTTCAATAATTCCCTACATGCTAAGATCATGCAAATTTTCTTCTATGTTATTTTTGAAACTTGATTGTTTTGTATTTCACATTTAAATATAATTGATCTGAAATTGATTCTTGTAAGTGTTTTTGTGAGGGATCAGTCATTTTTTTCTATGTAGATATGTGGTTAACACAGTACCATTTGATGAAAATTTATTTCCTGTACCACTTCAAGGCAGTGTCGTTTTTGTTGTAAATCATATAGGGCATATATGTGAATGTAAACCCACCAGTCTTTCAATGTTGGTCTATTAGTGGGACCATTTTCCAATTTTTTACAAATAATTTTTTTCTTTGGAATTATGACTTTCAAAACATTTTATTTTATAATTTATTTCATTTTAAATTAACAAATAATATTTGTACATATTTATGGGACATTTTAATAGAAGTATACATCAAGTTAATTAGCATATTTATCACTTCAAATATTTATCATTTATTTGTGGTAAGAACATTTAAAATATTCTTTTAGCTATTTTTAAATATAAGTTATTATTAACTATAGTCACCAGGCTGTGCAATAAATCACCAGAAGTTTTTTTCTATTATTTAGCTGAAACTTTGTATCCTTTGACCAATATCTCCCCTTTCCCTCCCCACCAGCCTCTGGTAATGTGATTAACAATCATTGTAGTTTGTCATCAAGATTGTGTTGGCCACTCTTAGCCCTTTACATTTCTAAATAAATTATATAATCAGTTTGCCAATTTACCAAGAATATATCTTTGGGGATTTTAGGTGGGCATACATTGGATCTATAAAAGAGTGGAGAATTAATATCTTTAAATATTTAGTCTTCTAAACTTCAACATTGCATACCACTGCATTTATGTGGGTTTTGTTTTAAATCAATATTATATGGTAGTGCTTTTTTTCGTATTTAAAGTTTTGTACATTTATCGTTAGACTTATACATATAATTATTTCAGTTATACTATAATGAAATTATTCTTTTTAATTTTAAATTTTGTGTTGTTTTTTGTTAATATATTAAAATGAAAACAATCTAATATTCAATTACCTAACCAAAATATGTATTAATTTTAATATTTTACGATTCTCTTTCTCTATGTACATAATCATTTTCACTGTAAATAATGAGTTTTATTTGTCTGTTTATGTCTTATAGCTCTATTTTTTTTTTTCTTGTAATGGAGGTTAGGACCTCCATTACAATATTGGTATAAGAAAGTCTCATTCTCAGAATTTGAAGAAAGTTTCAAAAATTGTCAAATATTGAAGATCCAAATAAACACAGTTAGAAATTACAAGGGGGCATTCCACAGACTACAAAAAAACAAACAAACAAACAAACAAAAAACTTCAGAAACTACTATGAACATCTCTATGCAGAAAACCTAGAAAACCTAGAAGAAATGGATGGATTCCTGGACACATAAATCCTCCCAAGATTGAACCAGTAAGAAAATAAATTACTGACCAGACCAATACTGAGTTCTGAAATTGAATCACTAGTAGAAAGCTTACCAACCAAGAAAAGCACAGGACCAGATGGATTCACAGCCAAATTACATCAGGCATATAAAGAAAAGCTGGTACCATTCCTACAGAAAATATCCCAAAAACTTAAGAAGGAAGGAGTTCTCTGCAACTCATTCTATGAGGCCAGCATCTTCTTGATACCAAAGCCTGGCAGAGACACGACAAAAAAGAAAATTGCAAGCCAATATCCTTGATGGACATAGATGCACAAATCCTCAAAAAATACTAGCAAACCAAATCCAGCAGCATATCAAAAGCTAATCCATCTTGATCAAGTAGCCTTCATCCTTGGGATGCAAGGTTGGTGCAACATACGCAAATCAATAAATGAGACTCATCACATAAACAGAACTAAAAACAAAAACCACATGATTATCTCAGTAGATGCAGAAAGGGTTTTCAATAGATTTCAACATTCCTTCATGGTAAATATCCTCAACAAACTAGGCATTGCAGAAACATACTTTAAAATAATAAGCGCCATCTATGATAAACCCACAGCCAGCATCATATTGAATGGGCAAAAGCTGGAAGAATTCCCCTTAAAACCTGACACAAGACAAGGAGGCCCTCTCTCACCACTCCTATTCAACATAGTACTAGGCATCCTGGCCAGAGCAATCAGGCAAGAGAAAGAAATAAAAGGCGTCCAAATAGTAAGGGAAGATGTCAAACTATCCCTGTTGGCAGACAACACTGTTCTATATCGAGAAAACACCATAGTCTCTGCCTCAAAGCTCCTTCAGCTGATAAACAACTTCAGCAAAGTTTCAGGATACAAAATTAACGTAAAAAATCAGTAGCATGCCTACATGCTGATAACATACAGGTAGAAAGCCAAATCAGGAATGCATTCCCATCCACAATTGCCACATAAAGAATAAAATACCTAGGAGTACAGCTAACCAGGGAAGTGAAAGAGCTCTACAATCAGAATTACAAAACACTGCTCAAAGAAATCAGAGATGACATAAACAAATTAAAAACATTCCATGTTCATAGATACGAAGAATCAATATTGTTAAAATGGCCATACTGCCCAAAACAATTTAGATTTCAATTCTATTCCTACAAAATCAACAATAGCATTCTTCACAGCTAAAAAAAAAACTATTTTAAAATTCATATGGAACCAAAAAAGAGCCTGAATACCCAAGGCAAACCTAAGCAAAAAAACAAAACAAAACAAAAACAAACAAAACAAAACAAAAAAACAAAGCTAGAGACATCATATTACCTGACTTCAAACCGTACTACAGGGCTACAGTAACCAATGCAGGATGGTACTGGTACAGAAACAGACATATAAACCAATAGAACGGAATAGGGAACTCAGAAATTAGGCTGCATGCCTACAACCAACTGATCTTCAACACAGCTGACAAAAACAAGCAATGAAGATCTCAACAAGCAATGAAGATCTCTATTCAACAAATGATGCTGGGATAACTGGCTAGCCATATGCAGAAGATTGAAATTGGACCCCTTCCTTACATCATATACAAAAATTAACTCAAGATGGTTTAAGAACTTAAATGTAAAACCCAAAACTATAAAAACTCCGGAAGACAACCTGGACAATACCATTTGTGGTATTTGATTTTCTGGCAAAGATTTCATGACAAAGACACCAAAGCAAGCAATTGCAGTAAAACAAAAATTGAGAAATTGGAGCTAATTAAATAAGAGCTTCTACACAGTAAATGAAACTATCAACAGAGTAAACCTACAGAATGAGAGAAAATACTTGCAAACTATGCATCCAACAAGGGTCTGAGATCCAGAATCTACAAGGAACTTAAACAAATTTACAAGTAAAAAACAAACAGCTTCATTAAAAAGTGGGCAAAGAACTTGAACAGACACTTTGCAAAGAAGACATACACATATCCCATATGAATATTGTAAAAAGCTGAAAATCACTAATTATTAGAGAAATACAAATTAAAATCACAATGAGGTACCCTCTATCCCCAGTCAGAATGGCTATTATTAAGAAGTCAGAAAATAACAGATGCAGGCAAGGTTGCAGAGTGAAGGGTCAGCCACTGTGGAAAGCAGTGTGGCAATTACTCAATGAGCTTAAAACAGAACAACCATTTGACCCAACAATCCCATTATTGGGTAAATACCTAAAGGAATATAAATCATTCTATCATAAAGACACATGCATGTAAATGTTCATTGCAGCACTACTGAAAATAGTAAAGACATGAAATTAACTTAAATGCCCATCAGCGTTAGACTAAATAAAGAAAATGTGGTTCCTATACACTGTGGAAAACTATGCAGCCATAAAAAAGAATGAGATCACGTCCTTTGTAGCAACATGGGTGGAGCTGGAGGCCATTATCCTTAGCAAACCACCACAGGAACAGAAAACCAAATACTACATGTTCTCACTTTTAAATGGGAACTATACAGTAAGAACATATGGACACAAAGAGGGGAACAACAGACTCTGGGGCCTTATTGAAGGTGAGGGTAGGAGGAGGGAGAGAATCAGAAAAAATACCCATCAGCTACTATGCTTGTTACATGAGTGACAAAGTAATTTGTACAGCAATTCCCCATGACATTCAGTTTATATATGACAAACCTGCATGTTTACCCATGAATCTAAAATAAGAATAAAAAAAAAAAAGAAAACAAAAAGTTAGTGTAAAAGTTCTTTTGTCATTTTTGGAAGATTTCACTTGTCAAATCATTGCCTGTTATTCTTTTTGAGG
Organism: Homo sapiens; assembly: GCF_000001405.40. Lineage (NCBI taxonomy): Eukaryota > Metazoa > Chordata > Mammalia > Primates > Hominidae > Homo > Homo sapiens. The sequence continues at coordinate 48,650,083 of NC_000006.12, forward strand.
AGTGCTTTTAAGTTATGTATTGTATTTATTTAATAGATGTAGTACTATTTCATTTTTTTAACTTCTATTCATTTTGGTGACTTGTATATTTCAAAGAAATGAAAGCTTACATTTTAATATTCAATTTTTTGCCATTAAATTGTTTATACTATCACCTCATTTTTTTTTTACCTTTAAGGGCTGTAGCAACGTCTCCTTTTCATTGTTATGATTTTTATGTTTTCCTCCTGTCTTTATTAGTCTAGCAAGAAGTTTGTTGATCTTACTAGTCTTTCAAAGACCTAATTTATAGCTTTTTTTGTTTCATCTATTGTATGTTTTTACCTACATAACTAATTCATTAACTTATTTTCAATAAAAAATGGTTATTATGATGATGAAATTATTAGACCAACTTTTGCTTTCAATTTTTTAAAATAGCGTTTTAATTTTAGAAAGGTTTTAGAGAAAAAATGTGAAGAAAATACTTATCTTCTCAAATACCCCTCACTCCTATTATTAACATTGACAAGAGCATGGTACATGTATTATAATTAATAAATTAATATTGATGTTTTATTGATATTCATATTGATATTTAATCCTTTATTCGGGTAGCCTTAATTTTTACTTAATGATATTTTTCTGTTTCAGGATTTTATCCAGGACACCACATGTCAATTAGTTGTCATGTCTCCTTAGGTTCCTTTCAGCTATGATGATTTTTCACACTTTTCTAATTTTTGATGACCTTGACAGCTTTGAGGACGCTGGTCAGGTATTTTGTACCATGTTTCTTCAATGTGATTTGTCTTATGTTTCTCATTATTAAACTGGGGTTATCCATATTTGAAAACAAGGCCATTGAGGTAGGGTACATTGTCAGCACACTATATCAAGGATGCATACTATTGGTGTAGAGCTGAGCTGTGCTGGAGAGAGAGAGCTAAGATAACAAATATTGGGGTAGGCACCTTAAACAACAAGCCAAAAAAATGAAAGTGTCAGGCAATCCTTTAATCACTTACTGTGATAGTATCAGCAAGAGGATGAATCAGAGAAAGTGGCAACTCCCCGCTGCTCCATTTTCCCTATGAATTAGCACACTGTAGATCGCCACGGACATGTTGGTCTTTTTTCTGCACAGGGAGCTTCAAACAAGAAGTTCCTACAGTTTTACAGACCCTGCAACTGGGTTGAGAGAAAGGAAGAAGGGCTAGGAGTGGGAAAAAAACTGAGTAAGAATGGAAAAAGTAGTTTGAAGGTTCCACAATAAGAAAACCTCCAAGTAGGGGTGCCTCAGCTGAAATTAAGATAGGTATAAGAATATGAACAGTTGGTGGTCCTGAGTCCTTGGCTGAAATTCATCTTAGAGATTGCAATGCTCTTGCTGTGCACCTAGTCTGTATGGGTAAGGCAGCTGTTCCCCATAATGCCGCCCAGGTAAAGCCTTTGTAATTGCTTGTTGTCTGACCTGAAAACACCCAGGTTTTGGGGCCAGTATCTGGACTCTTCCATGACGAGCATCATTTCTCACTGTTGATATTGGCCTTCCTCACCTGGCTGAGATAGTGTTTGTCAAGTTGTTTTGGTGAAGTTACTCTTTTCTCCTCCTTTCTATACTGTATTCTTTGGAAGAAAATTACTATATGCAACCCACCCTTTGAGTGAGGAGTTATGCTTGCTTTCTCATTTTCATGACAGCAGTGTATCTAAATACTTTATTATTTCTATATTAATTTATATAGCTTATTTGGAATGCTTCTGCACAAGAAATTTGCCTATCTGTCCCATTTATTTAATCATGTGGTAAATTAAATTTATTTTATAATGCAAATCAAACTTTCATTCTCTAAAATGAACTCATCTTGGTTATATTGTGTTACCATTTTTATTTATTGGTGAATTTGCCTTGTTAATATATATATTTTAGGTGTTTTAATTTGAATTCATGAGAGTGATTAGTCTGTATTTCTTTATTTCTTGAAATACCTTCTTCCAGTTTTCTGCCTTGAATCACAGTTATTTATGAACAAGTGTTGTTTCCCTAAATGTTTATGATCCTGGAAGAAGAGCTCCACAACCTGTTTTGCTATATACATATCATCCTCCTGAATACTCACTTTTTGATCATCATGTATATTACATAGTTGTTTGAGGTAAATACCTGAAAAAATACTTAGAGGGATTTACCCTAAAGTGTAAAACATTGGCTGTGTTGTTTTCTCTAACCATTCCTAGTAATCCTTATATTTTAAAAGAGCATTTCTAAATTGCTAATATTTTAGTGTGTTAATGTTGACATTTACTGCAGTTCATAGGTCTTTCCTACTATTTTCAATTAACACCAAATAAGTAGGTTATGTTCTTTTTCTTATGTCTAATGCTGGCTATAATATCAACAGTAGTAATGAAAGTTGAAATTAAACATTTCCTTAAAGACATGTACAAATTATTCACTGTCTAAACCCATTTTTCACTTTAGTCTCTGATAGCTATCAATCTCTCCATTATTGGTAGGTATTCTATTCTTATTTTGCCAATGAAAAAATGTAGCCCAGAAACAGTAAGAACTTGTTGGATGTTACACAAGTAGTGATTAACAGTGGCAGATTCAAATGACAGGCTTCCCGACTTAGCCATCGTTTTCTTTTCCAAACTTCCTTTCCTTAAGATGAAATCATTATTGGAAGTCTTTCTAGCAAGATTTAGAATCTTTTCTTTAGACCAATGAGCATCCTACGCTTATTTTAAAAATTATTTTCAAGAAAATTATAGGCCTTACAATATAAGAATATGTTTAATTCATATCTCTTTCAAATGAAAGAATGCACTCATCAGCTGTGAATTGTTCCTTGGAGATGCAGCAAGTGCTAAGTATCAGCAGCTTGACACCAAGAGATTCATGTACCCAGTTATCAGCAGTATATAAGCTTATATATATGGCAGCAGTGTATAAGCTGAAGAGTACAGGGGTGACCCTTTCAATGCTAGTGCTGTGATGTTGTGACCCAAATCCAAAATGGATTTCATTCAACATAATATGCAGTTTAAATAACTGCATCAACCCACTATCATTTATTGATCATCTGTTAAGTGTGCAGCACATTGCAAAACTATGCTAGAGTTAGGGCTTCACTGCATTCTGTATCTATTCCAACTCTTGTAATACAATATTCCACAAGTTATATCTGTCTTGTCCCAGTGTTGAAATCATGACTAAAAACTCAACTTTCCTTTGCTTCCAGTTGGCTGAACTCGCACCCTACTTACCCTAGCCATTTCCCTTACTAGGTTCCCTATGCATAACTCTATGGGTACCCGGTGCCATATGGGTACTACAGCTATGGATACCCTTAGTAACTCTATGGGTTACTGAGCATACACCCCAAACATGCCTCCAAACTTCCAGCTTCTGAGGTTCTCACACTCTTTGGCTAGGTACCAGGCAACTAGGGACAGCCCCTAGGCCCTGGGGTCTGTTAAATTGTTCAAGTTAGTCAATATCCACCAGGAGCCCAGGGAAACCTAGCTAACCCTCACAGTATGTCTAAGCCATATATAAGCTGCCTTCCGTAGCTCTGGTTTGCTGTTACCTTAAGGTTGGGTAAAACTTTCTGTATGGCCCTATATGGCAGGCTTCTCTGGTTTGGAGCTGTAAGTAAGAGAGTTTTGCCTTTTATCTATGGATGTGTCGATGTTTGTGTCCTGCCATTCAGAGAATCTTTAAAGTTTATAAAACATTTGGGTTGGCTTCTATTCATTATGTTTTTTGACTCAGTTTGTGATCTTTCTGGCTTTTGGTATATGTAGTAATTTTCTATTGGAACCTAGATATTTTGTGCATTATGTTAATGAGATTATAGATATTATTTAAACCTTCTGTTTTAAATGGCTTTCTCTGGCACTACTTCAGCAGGAGCAGGGGCTGCCACTTCATTATTCCTATTAGAGTGTAGTATTCTAGGTTCCCTACCTTGCCTCCTTCCTCACTTAAAGAGTTGGTTTCAAATTATTGTTGTGTGGGATTGTTTTTCTAGCTTCCCACTAGGACCCTGCTGTCACTGTCATGAGTGAGGCCTCATTATTTCTAGGTGGTGGTGGAAGTTTTGTCTGTCTACTAGGCATCCTCTGTTAACACTTTATTGGGAAAGGAGGAAGAGATCTTGATACTCCTGGCAAAGGTGGAATTGTAGGCTCCCTATGTGGTCTCCACTGATATGTTTGTGGGAGAAGGAAGCTTGTTACCACTTAGTGGGGATGGAAATCCTGATTCATATTTGTCCTTTCTGACTCCAACCTTGGAGGATGCTTGGGGTGCCTGGTCACAGCCTGATGGGGGTGGAAGTCTAGGCTCACAACCAAGCCTTTTCTATTATGGGCCATAGTTGTTTCTGTGGTGTTTGGAATAGAATGTTATCTAAAATTTTCTGTTTTTCCAGTCTGACCCCCTCCTAGTCCTTTATGTAGAGAGAAAGACCTTTTTTCCATGGTGGGGCGGTGTGTGTGCTTTTTTGCATCTGCTTTCATTAGTGTTTGTAGTTTACCCACTTCTTCAGGTCTCAGCCTGGGATTATATGGGGCAAAAGAAGAAAACTCCGGGAATTCACCACCATGGCATTCTTTGAGTCCTAAGGTCCCTAGCAGATTTTCCTTCTTTCCACCATTCAGAATCTTTTTATGTAGATTTTGTTTATAATCCTCAGAGCTTCTTGTACTTAGCAGAAAAAAATGAGGGAAAGTATGTTAACTTCTCTTTGTTCAAGAAGCATTCCCAGAATATTTTAAAAATAATTTCATTTTAATGTTATTTCAAGGTTACAAAATTGTGTAGGCATAATAAATGGAACTAATATGTCCTTTTCTAAGACTCAAAACTTATTTTTATTTTGCCCCATTTGTGTGCTCTCTTTTCTTTGTTTTTCTCTTTCCCATTTGAGAGGAAGTTGCAGACATATTATCTCTTTAATCCTGAATGTATCACTGGTATTTCAGAAAAAGGATATTCTATTATACAACCTGGTAAAATTCTCAAAATTAGAGAAGTTAATATTAATATATACTACTATTAGCTAACCCATTCCATATTTACATTTTGTGAATTGTCCTAACATCTTTTATGAATATTTACTTAGTTCAAAATCCAATCTGAATTCACCTGTAGCACATCACTGTTTAAATAGCTTTAGGTGTATTTTTAATCTGGAACCTTCTCAGACTTTCTTGTTCTTTCTGATATGTTGTAAGAATACAAGCCATATATATCATAGAATGCTTCTGAATTTTAATTTGTCTGATTTTTTTATTTTATTTTATTTTATTTATTTTTGAGATGGTGTCTCACTCTTCTCACCCAGGTTTGAGTGCAGTGGCACGATCTTGGCTCACTATAACCTCTGCCTCCCACGTTCAAGCTTCTCCTGCCTCATCCTCCTGAGTAGCTGGGATTACAGGCACCCACGACCATGCCTGCCTAATTTTCTTTTGTACTTTTAGTAGAGATGAGGTTTTGCCATATTGGCCAGGCTGATCTTGAACTCCTGACCTCAGGTGATCTGCCCTCCTCAGTCTCCAAAAGCACTGGGATTACAGGTGTGAGCCACTGTGCCCGGCTTGATGTTTCTTTATTATTAGATTCATAAGCATGTGTGGTGGGATTACCACAAAAATGATATGCACTTCTTACTGTATTCTATCGGAAGGCACATGGTTGACGGCTGCTCTTTGTGGTAATTTGATTAAATTGGCAGCTATGGGATGATAAGCAGACTCAGTTTCCCACAGGCATAGTGTTTTTGTTTCCTACTTGTAATTTTGACAGGAGCTGTTCAAAATCTGGAAGAGGCTCTGTCATGGCATCTGGAACTTGCTTTCAAATGGTTCCAGCTGTGTTTGCAAATTGAAACTTCAATTCAGTCATATACTGTAGACAATTTCTATACTTCGAAGCAGTTTTGTGGGTTGTAAAATTATTTTAGCCACAGAATCAGCTTTTCTTCCAGCAACTTAACCAAATTTAGTGTGATCATGTAATAAAGTGTTTTATAAAATATTTTTTTAAAGTTTCACACTTTGCTAGGAGCTAAAATGTTGGCCTGTATAATATTGAAAAGCAATGCTTCAGAAATGATATCCCACTTGATAAAATATATTTGATGAGATTTCCATTAGGGTTGTAGGCTGCTAAACATTTCCAGAAGCTGACAGAGCAGCTTTTTTTTGATGACACACATAATAATAAGCACTAAATTTTCAAAGAGCTATTTTTCAGAATCATCATAAGCTACTTGCCCATGTGTTTGAATATTCCTAAAATATTCCAGATTATTGTCTCTGAATTTAATTTATAATACAGTGACACTCCAGCAGAAGGGAAAACAAGTGGAGAAATCTTGGACAATATTTATAATAAGGAAAACAGGAGATATTAGACATAAAGCTGTGGAATTTTGCTTTGCTAAGGTGTCATATCAGTTCAGAAGCATGGTAACATATCACAATTTTAGATTTTAGTAAAGTTCTTATTGCCTACAGCATGAATGCTATCATTTTAAGCCTTGCTTATGTAAGCCTTAGTCATTTGGAATTCTGTTAATTTACATGGTTATGTTAATTTGTTAATGATTTCACCTTATGTGACTCAACTTTTTGGGGAATATCAGTTGTGTCATTATTTCATGAAGACATGCATTAAAGAATAATATAGTTACTAATAAAGCAAGTATTATTATTTAAATGCATAAAACAATGATATACTATGAAGTGTGTAATAGAAATATGGAACATCTTGGAAGTTTTCAACTGCGAGTAACAAAAATGTAGTTATCAAAAATCCATCTACACTTAACATATACTCAAAGAATTCTCTGACATTCACCTCAAGGATATCTATTTTCAAACTGTGTAATTGTTCAACTATTTAATTGATTGTCACAAACTAGGAGGGCATTTCTCCATGCAAGGTAGTAGGAGGGTTGATACCAGATAATAAATATCTGCAAGGACTGACTTCTTTTCTCTGTCACTCTCACTCTCATTTGCAAAATGGGTACCACAGCTGTAGGTCTCACATCCTTACATAATGTCATGCTAAGACAGGAAGAAAAGGATAATATTTTCTGTGCATATTTCTCACTTGTCAAGAAAGAAACACTTTTAGAAACCCTTTCTATTCACAGATGTTCTTAAAGATCCCATTGACCAGAATTGTATTATGTGCACATGCCCTCGCTGCAAGGAAAGCAAAGAAAGGACAGACCAGAGATTTTATTTTAGAAGAGACATAAGATTTCCCAACAAGGAAGAATTATGCAGTAGGGGGGAGGCAAGGGAAAGATAAATGTCAAGGTAATAACCAATAATAGCTGTCTCAAAAATTAGATTTTATAAAACCCTCAAATATAGCTATGTTTTATGCTTATTTATTATTTATGAAATGTTTGCAAACAAATCATCTCAATCCCTAAAGATGACTATTATGGACGTTGTATCTACTTCCATTTTATACTTGACAAAAAGTATTATAGTGATGAGCCATGTATCACAATTTATGCTTTGTTATGTATGGTAGTGCCAGTAGTATAACAACTCAGAGTGAAGGGACATTAATTAGGGAATTTAAGTTCACTTTGTCCATGTACATGCACACACACACGCGCGCGCACACACACACAGAGTATTGGAGTAATCAACTATAGAGAAAGATAACTCTGGCAGGAAGGTACAGAATAAGCTTTTAGAGGGAAGGACTGAAGCAAACAGACTACAAGACTTAAATTTGAGTGACAATTTTTCACAATTCTTACCTTAAATGAGTTGATAAATAATCAAACAAGAGTGGTGGTAACTGAAATTGTAGAAATTGGTGACTCTGAATTATTTCAGAAGGAAATAAAAAACGGGATAAGATGACATATTATACAGAGGAGCTTGAAGAAAGGGAAAAATTTAAAAAGACTCTTCTGTAAGACAGAAATAGTATTATCACAGCAAATAAGTTGTTGACATAAACTGATTTTGAAAGTCAATGTCAGATTTGAAATAAGCTAACTTGAGGAGATAAGTGAACTTTCTATTACATTCAGTAAAGATCATGTAGAAGTGAGATAAAGGGTAAAGTTCATTAAGAGTTATCTTTAAAGAAATTACTTTTTAGGGAGATGCAAGATAAAACAGGAGAAACATGATTTCAGTATGGCCAAGGATACACTCATGCCAGGAAAATCTTTGGGTTATGTTCTACCTCTATCAGCACTCATTCAAAGCCATCAAAAATCTGTTGCTGATCAGTTTAACATTTTCAAATGTGGAGCTCTAAAAGCTGAAATAAATAAGTATGAAATTACATGGAGATTTTGAAAGAAAGCACGCTGTATGGGTACCTACTTCTCTGCTCATCCCACTCTCTGTTCCCACTACATTGCCCTATTTTCTGTTACCTAAAACTCCCAGCTTGTTGCACTTGCTTTTTGCATTTGCTGTTTCCTCAGCCCGTATTCTTTGCTGGAATCCCAGCTCTATCAATTTCCAGCTGTGTGATCTTAGGAAAGTTACTTAACATTTCTGTGCCTGTTAAATGTTAAAGTTATTTGACATTTCTGTGCAAATTTTCCAAATTTGTAAAGTAAGGCTAATAATATTTAACTTTGAAGTTTATTAGCATTACCTAAATTAATGCACAAAAAGTTATCAAAAATGCACTTATACTTAACATGAACTCAAAGAATTCTCTGACATTTACCTCAGGGATATCTATTTTCAAATTGTGTAGTTGTTCAGCCTTGAATTGAGGTAAATTTTTTAAAAGTTTAGAAAAATCAAACTCCATGAGAGTCTCTCTTTTTTTTTTTTTTTTTTTAGTCAATTTGGCATGATGTGTTTGACATCAATTCCTGTCTGCTTCTGCCACACCCACTCAACCCAACCAGTTCTTCCCAATTATTGTCTCATACAAGACTAGCCAGGCTGAAATTGATTCCTCCCACAGCAAAAACCACACCAACGTCCAGAGCCCAAGGCAAAGCTCTGCCTCCTTTGTCAGTGTTCCTCCTTGTTACCAGTAACTTATGTATATATCTCTGCTTCACTTTCCCTGCCCACTCAGTTTCTGCACATTCCCTGGTTCCTGTTTGCCGAGTTCTAACAAAACCATTATGCTGTTTGTTGTCTAGGCAATCTGGTCACTAACTGGTTTGCACAGCTGTTTCTTAACTTTGAACATCATCCTTTTTGTGTGATCTGATTCAGTACCTGAACCCTACTTTGGACCACTTTAGGAGTTGGCATTGACTTCTGCTTTGATGACAGGCTTCTAGTCTGATCTCAGTCCAGATCATAACCCTATTTATTTCTTATCACAATGGTGTTCAATTCCTCTGAGTTTGTTTTTCTGGCTTTTGTTTAGTTATTATCATCATCCTCATTGTGTATTTATGTATGTTTAGCTATTGACTTCTCCTCTTTGTCTGAACTCAAGGTGGAACTCAGTATATAAAAGATAAATATACTGCTTTGCTTGAATCTGGATGATATAATTGCATGCTTTTTGCTTTCATTTTCCCCTACCCCATAGTGAATTCTTCTACCATCCCAAACTATCAAGGGGAGAATTGGCAAAGCCTGACTATCTCACAAGTACTTTAAATGTCATAATGTGCTGGTTTATTCAATTTATATACAAAAAATCATATATTTTCAAAGGCACATTATCTCATTTAATTTTTATAACTACTCCACTCATTCATACATTCATTTGTTCATTCAGCAAATGTTTATTGAGAGCCTAGTACTTCTCAGGCATTGTCCTAGGAGCTGAATATAATATTGAAACCCTCACGAGTCAGGCATGTAGAGTTTTATTGCCTCCTTTGAGAGATAATACAATTGTGACTCTCAAGTTGCATAACTTGCCCAACTTCATATAGCTAGTGTGTAACAGAGCTAAAAATACAAATGTTTTCTCTGAAGCTGTGCTTTATCCTCTTTGGGCTAAAATTATGATTCAAGACCTTCAAATTCATAAGTGGTTTACATTTGCATTACTGTTAATTCTCCTTTCAAATGAATTGACGTATCAGATACTCATAAATGGTGTAAATAGTAATTGTGTATTTTAGGATAAACATAAAGTCATTTAGATATAGTATGATTCTAGGTAAATAGTCATATTTACCTTGTATATGACATAAAAATTATAATAACACTTCCTAAGTAACCAAGGACAATAACAAATCTAAATTTATAATATATGTATCATTCTTCTCTTTATAATTTTAGTGAGATAGCTAACTGATGTAAGTTGTGCTTAAATTATTTTTCATTACTCATTAAAATTATGTATTGTATAAATTCATTTAAATTTTAACTTATTATTCTTACATTAATAAATAAGAATAAGTTAATACTTTAGAACAGTAGTTCTCAACTGAGAACAATTTTACTTCCCAAAAGATCTTTGGCTATGTATAGAAGCATTTTAGTTGTGCTACTGGCATCTAGAAAGAGGAGGCCAGGGATGCTGCTAAACATAACAGTCCGCATAGAAGAGAATTATCCAGCTCAAAATGTCAATAGTGCAAATGGTTGAGAAATCTGTATCTAGAAGCGTGTCATATAAAGTGTGTGAAAAGCCTAAATTTAAAAAAACAATTTAAACACTTCACTGTTAAAGTCTAAACAATTTTAGATTATATAAATAAGGCATTAAAAGAAGGATATTTTGCAAAATAACTCATAATTTCTTTTGTTAAAGATGACCATCATTTGGCCTTTAGCAAAAACTGGTTTACACATAACAGTTTTACATTTGTTTTTGTTTATTACAGCATTATTAGTGGTGGCATAAGCGGAAACATAATAAATGCACACCAATAGAAATACACTTGATCAAATTATGATAAAACCACATTATGGACCATCATTCAGCAGCACTTAATAAAATGAATCTCTTCTGTACTAGCTAAAATGGTGGAATTTTATAGTGCCAATATTTCTTCCTCATTTACTTTCTCTCTCTCTCTTTTTTACTTTTGATTTTTAACTAATTTTAGACTTACAGATAAACTATGAAATATGGCAGAGGATTTTTGTAAAACCCTCACCTAACTTTCCCTAAGGCTAATATCCTGCTTTACCATAGTACAATTATCAAAATCAAGAAATTATTATTGGTGTAATAGTAAACTAAGCCAGTGATCAGCAAACTTTTTTAAAGAACAGGATAATACGTATCTTAGGCTTTTTAAGTCATACAATCTCTGTCACATGTACTCAACTCTGCCATTGAGGAGTGACAGCAGTCACAGACAGTATGTAAGTGAATGAACATGGATGTACTCAATAAAACTTACAAAAACAGACATCCAGACAGCTGACTTTTGATATAAAGGTCTTACTGTAATTTCACTAGGCTTTCCTCTGAAATCCTTTCTCCATTCTAGGATACTATCCAGAATCCTACATTATGTTTAATTATTATTTGTCTTTAATTTCTTGCTGCATGTTAAAGTTTCTTAGTCTTTCCTTGAAAGTTTTGAAAAGTATTAACCAGTTACTTTTTGTAAATGTCCCTTAGTTTGCATTTATCTGATGTTTTATCATCATTTTTTTGAGGTTTGTATTTGTGTAAACTTCACAAGAGTATTGCAGAAATCATACTGTGCCCTTCTCAGGACATTATGTTACATAGTTCATGGGGCCATTGTGTCTTTTTATCGCTGATGATGGCCTTCATCCCTTGCTTAACGTGGCTTCTACTGGGTTTCTCCTCCTAAAGTTAACTATCTTTCCTTTATAGCTAATAAATACCTTGAGGGTAGACTCCCTGAGACTACGCAAATCCTGTTTCTTCTCAAAATTTCAACCCAAGTTTTAGCGTCCAAAAGTGTATTTTGTTTGAAAAAAAAGTATTACCTTTGTATTTGCCTAATGCTGATTTGCTAGGTCCTCCATTCCCTCTACATTTATTAATTGAAATTCTACTATAAGTAAAAGGTGTTTTTTTCTCATTCATTTATTTATTTCTTTATATTCAAATTGACTCATGGATATCCACTTTAATCCAATAATATAATAATTCATTTTGTTGCTCACATTGTTCAGGTTGACTTTTGTATTCTTTCAATGAGTTCTCATGTCAAAAAAATATTTTCTTCACTTTGTAGCACCACAAGGTATCAAACTTGTATTTATCCTATCCTGACCTTAGGATCAACCACTTATCCATGGACCCCTGGTTCTTTTTGTTGGAGGATGGTCTTTTGAAACAAAGAGCTGGGCACTAAGTGTTCTCACTGCTTGCTGACGTGTCATGGCTTCTGGGTCTCTAGCAGAAGAGAGACCTCATAAGAAATACATGCATGTACTCTAACTCACACAAATGTAACCATCTATTGATTTCCATCCAACACCACAGGACTTGCTTTGCAACATTTTTCTCACTTTGTGAGAAACTGGATCTTATTATCAAAACTACATTTATATATTCAATTATTGTGCTCACACAAAATAGTTTAAGAATTACTAACACATACCCTTGTGAAAAATACATTTACTAAGTGGATTACAGTATTTATTTACAGTTCTTTTGTCTTTGTTCTTACAGTATTCAAGCAAGGTAGTATTTCTAAGTTATTTAGGTTAGTTCTTTCCCCTCCAATCATTTCAGTGTGGTTATTATTAATTTTTAATAAAATTATATCTATTTATTAGTGTTTACATTCTATTTGTACTATTTTGTGTGTTACCTCCACATCGTAGTTGGTTTTATTACTTGTTTATTTTTTGAATATGTGAAGGGTATGTGAAATAGTACTATAGCTGAAGAGTCGCAGCTATTCAAAAAGATATATTTAAAAAGTGTCACTCCCTCCTCATCTTTACTACCTATTCCCACCCTTCTTCCTCCTGACCATTTATCCACCTGCCCCTATAGGCAACCTTTTTAGTCTCTGGTTTATCCTTCCTATATTTATTTTGCATAAGTGTGCATATCTTGTGTATTTTCATATATACTGTATTTTATTATGCTAAAGATAGCATATTACAGATAATCTGTGTACTTTCACTAGCCATTGTTTCAAAAAAAATTTTTTGACTCAAAATTAGGCATTGTACTCACTGAGTAAACTGTCCTCAGAATGTGAGGTTATCTTTTTATGGAAGAAACATCTTTTAATAGAAATAGGCCTATGCATAAGGACAATGGTGACCTTAGTTAAAATTTTATGGCAAGCATACCAATTAAAAGATAAGCAAAATATACACAGATACAATTCAAAGAAACAAAAGTCTTAAATATATTTAAAAATTCTCAAGTTAGTCTCAGAAATATATTCTGAAATAGGATTGAGATCTATTTTCTGTTCTTTGATGAGTAAAATTTAAAAGAAAAGGTTGATAATATCAACTTATTTGAAAAATGTGGAAATAATCACTCTTTGCTATTAATGGTATTGCACATTGGCATAATATTTTTTATTTGCAGTTTAATAATATCTATCAAAATTCCTAAAAGTACAAATGCATCAATTTGTCAATTGCACTTTGCCAATCATTTCTAACAATAAGTTATATATGTGAACATGAAGGGGCATGTGCATTGCATCTTTTTAAACATACAAATATTGAAAACAATAAATATTTACAAAGTAAGCTTCTCATAATATTGGTACTATAGTATATCATATAACAGATTAAAAATGGGGTAAGTCTATGCAAACTAACTTAGAAAAGTATTCAAGATATGCTTTTAAGTTTAAAAAATGACTTAACTGCAATGATAGGTTAACAAACAGTAATATAATCTATATGAATAATGTACATATTTAAGTGTAATTTTTTATTAAAAAGTCTGTTAATATACATCTATATGGTTATAGGGTAAGAAAGGGATTGTGAACTGGTATGGAAGACTATTTTTACTTTTTATCTATATCTTTCTGTTTTTCTTGAAATCAGTTTGTATTAATGTATATCTTCTGGAATTTCATGCAAAGAGTCTGTGTCAGCAGGACAGTTTTGACCAAGAAGTTTCATGCCTAGAAGTTTGGATAGACTGACAGAGTATAACTTAAGCCATGATAGTCTGATGTAGAAGATCAGAGAACGGGTAGCAAAAGGTGCGAGGTTGTTTCATACTGAACAGGGAACACAGAAGTGAATTTTAACTTTAAAGGAAAAGGTTAAAATTCACTTGGTAGACTTGGTCCAAAGACCTGCAGGTGCAGCTGTGCCAGTTTTATTTGGGCTATTCAAACATCATGAAGAAACAGCAAGGCAGGCACTGTGAATCAGATGCATGTAGCATCTGAGGATATATAGAGTGTCCTGGACCTACTCCATTAAGTTACAGTCAGATCCTTGCAGGTAGACAAGTCACCTACCTCTTTTAGGCTAAAGTGAACAAATGTTTAAGAATTTTTTCCCCTGGATTAAATAATATGAAAAACAATGTTGCAAACACAGTGAAGGCAGGAAGCAGGAGTAAGCAACTGATGATGGAGTATATGAAATGCGGCTGGTGGGAGACATGTCCATAGCAGAGTATCACGAAAAGCGCAGAAACAAGACTCCTCCCTGAGACAGGACTACAGGAAAAATACACTGACCAGGACTCTGACATGTTTTCTGTGGGGGTGGGGAAAAGCTGGTATGACATAAGTCAAGAGAAAATGCGATATTATGAGAAAAGACATCAGCTCTAGTGTGGCAGTAGAGTGATAAACCCAAAGCTTTTGAAGACTTTTTTATTGTCTGAAAATGAGGCATTTTGTTTCATCCCCTGAAGGTTTACCTATGCCTGCTAGACCTCTTCTTTTCTTCTCTACAATCTTCCCCAGTATTTTACCGGGGGCTTTTTAACCTCACAGCATATAGTGCTATATTCAGCTGTCTCCTCTATGCATGTAAGACGCATTGTTAGTGGAAAATTATTCACTCACTGGGAGACTAATGTGTTGGCCAGATGGTCACAATTTACTCTCCGGGTGCTTTGGGGAGCTGTGTATCCTCAGGCATTATGTGGTTTCCACAGTGTTATGATAAGCTGGGTAGGGAGACCACAGTCTTCAACTGAGGTAATTTGTCTTTATAAATTTAAATCTCCACCAATTCATGTTTTAGGGTTTAATCTGGGTTGGAACTCTGATAAAAGAAACAGCCATGCAATTTAGCAACTTGTCAATGTCCAGGATATATTAAAAATAGTTCTAAGCTATGTGTATTAAATTATGGATATTTTGGTCACTAGATATATGTCTCTAAATTTTGATTTGGTATTTCTGAAAAAAATTAGAGGCTCTACAAGAATATACTGTAGACATATTCTTATAAAATAATGCCATGTAGAAAGGGATAGAGCCACTGGTAACTGATAGTGAGATTTGGATACTTTACAACTGGATATTACTTCTTATTAAATGATTGAAGATA
The DNA here is from genome assembly GCF_000001405.40 of Homo sapiens. NCBI lineage: Eukaryota > Metazoa > Chordata > Mammalia > Primates > Hominidae > Homo > Homo sapiens. The sequence continues at coordinate 48,665,491 of NC_000006.12, forward strand.
TGATTTAAGCCACATACAGGTGCAGTTAAGAGTTTTCCTCTTACAACAACAGAGTAATCCTGACCCTATAAGCAACTTCTTCCAATGAACAGGATAAATATTGTGCTTAGACTGAGATGAATTTTCAACAGGTCGCGTCTACGTTTTGATTCCAAATTTTTCTCAGAAAAGCATTCTAAAATGAGATTTTTCATAGGGACAGATCATAAATAGAAGCAGTAACAAGAGATGTCTTTTTTTTAGTGTTCATTGCCATTGTCTGACCTTCAAGCATATGGAGAGAATCTGTATTTGTGGTCTGTACCTTTTGACATAAACTATGCTGAACACATGGCCTTTCCAAAAATACTGAAGGAAACAGTTCTCTGAGTATCATTCATCATGTGTTTCCACAGTGACATCTCATTGCAAAGAAAGGTGAAAATTGTTGCTATGAGACTTTGAGTTGATGGAGAATAAAAGAGAAAGTTAACTTGGTAGCTAATAAAAGCATATATAAAAATATTATTTAATGATGCTGATATATTTTGTGTATAATCCATGAACCAGAAATTGCATAGAGACTAGAGCTTTATGAACACAAACAGGGGCACATCTGCTTCCTCTCTTGTGACTTTGTCATTTATATTTGAGACAATGCTTCCAGTGACAAAAGAAAACATATCCATGAAAATTAGTTTGAGAGTCTTACTATAGATTTCTGTATGTATAAAACACACATGTTGGCAATAAATTAAACAAAAAAATTCACCTACTGCACTAATATTGCTTAGATTTTTCAGTCTTTTCCATGGAAGAAAATAAAGAATTATTTCCTTTTAGCTTAAGCCAAAGATAACTTTATTATAAGCATATTTGAAAAAAACAGATATTTTTGCCTACAGAATGTACAAGTATTTTTGAGTATTATATATGATTTTTAATAGTCATTACATACTTGCAATACTTTTAAAATAGTTGTTACATACCTACATGTTAGTGATCAGTGTATTAAACAAGATCAAAGAGGCTGCTGATGAATCAATAGCTACTAAATTGCAGAAGCACAACTTGAACCGAGGTCTGTTTAGTGGCTAAATCTTTACTCTATTCACAATATCACATGGTGTTAGAGAAGCTTGTCTGAGATTTAGAGAGGTGGTTTGGCCAAACACAAGAGTGACACAATAATAGTTGTTAATTTTAAAGGGAACCTCAAAATTAGACGAATCAGAGGGTTCAATACCTGTATCATAGAACATTTTTTTGTACCTGTAGATAAGCTTGCAACAAAACCATGGCATCAGCAGATCTTACAATCGTTACCTAGACTCACTTTCTTCTATGGCCTTTTTCCCATTCGATTATACCCATATATACACTTTGTACATACTCATTAATTTCATTTACAAATGAAGTTTAAATACAAATAATTCTACAATCACCTAGGCACCAATTTAAACACTTTTAAACAAAGGAAACAATATTGTATTAAATCCTTAATGCAAACAATTGTTGATGGGGAAGAGATTATGTTAGTGGTATTTTCCCTGGTTCAAGAGGTTGTCAGTACAACTGAGTTGGTAGAGAGTATACATTTAGGCAAAAATGTTAATATCATACTAGTTGATTATTTCCATTAAAAACAAAACAAAACATTTTCTCAATAGAATAACAGCAGTATCTCTCAAGGTCAAGCTTTCTAGTTGAATCATCAATATAAATGGTGATGATCCAGAAACAGTTCTGACTTCTGGTTATGGGGAAAAAATGGTGTTTACAGATTTTTATTCACTATGGGGAGGGTACATAATGAATGGCCAAAAACTTTATTTTTAAGTGACAATTCACAATCTACTTAAATAATGAGAATATTGAGCATTACCCCTGCTTTCACCAAATATAAGCTTTGATATAATAGAGGTCAATAAAGAACACTCTGACTCTTACTTTTTCCAATCAATTTATTCTCTTGGTTTTCCCTCTTGACTACTTAATTATTCAGTCAAGAAAGAATGACTAAGTCATAAAAAACTAGGAAGTTTTGAGAAATGGTTACAGTCCGGAGGAGCTAGGATAGACATGACAACTAAATGTAATATGGAAACTTAGATAGGATCCTGAGGGAGAAAAAAAGACGAGGGGTAAAAATTAAGAAAATGCATAAATAAAGTAAGAAATTTAGTTAATAACGTACCAATGTTGTTTCATCACTTGTGACAAATGTTCTATTGTTATTTAAGATGTCAACAGTGGGAGAAACCAGGTGTATGGTATACAGAGCTTCATATTCTCTTTGTATTTTTTCTATAAAACTCAAACCATTCTAAAATTAAAAGTTTATTATAAAAAATAAAGAATAGCTAATCTAGATATAGAAACATGCTGGAAGGAAAAAAAGATTTATTCAGGTAAAGCAGAACAAAAATCAATTATTTCACTTGGGAAAGCTAAAAACAGATAAACCTTTGTCCTCCTCTTTGAGCTTCCCTCTCTGCCTTCATTCAAATTATGCTGCTGACTCGGCAAATATGGCACATGTTTAATTTTTTCCCCTAATCATGGAGATAATTTGGTTATAATCCAATCATTCTCTTAGTCAAGTTGCCTTTTGAGAAATTGTTTGCATATTCAGTGTTCCTGAGATAGACATAGGACAGGATAGGTAGGGTCAAGTGGAGGCAAAAGACTAAAAATAAACCGAGGGCTATGTGGAAGTCATCATTCCTCAAGTGTTTAAAAGGCCTCTAACTGGCTGAGTAAATAAGCAAGCCATTCTACCTTCTTACCATCAAAATAACTAGTTAGAAAACATTCTATCCCAATCTAAGGAAATTGAAAGTCATGGGCAGCATCGTAGTTTCCTTTAATTCTGCAACTTTCCACCTCTAATGTACCATTTTACTCCACAAAATGGTGGACTTTTAGACAGCCAATTTAATCTTTTTTTATCATTAAAAGTATAGTATCTGGCCAATCATTGTTTCAAATGGCAAACCATCCCATTTCCCAAACATAATTTGACATAAGACAATATCTTAAATAAGGCACTATGAGGAAAGAGCAAGGCCAGATAGTTCTCATTTTCTACCCAAGATTATTTTTTACTCTTTCTTCTTAAAAAGAGGAAATGTCAGTATTAATCTAAAATCACACTTAATCTGGATGACTTCATATTACTTGCAAATGTCACTCAGAACAGAATGAAAAGTAGGGAAAGTTTATTTCTGATGTTTTCTGACCTCCCCAGATAGGCAATTTAATCACAGTAGTGTCTGTCGTCCAAAGCCCTCTAATCCTATTGTTTTAGTTTCTGCCTTTTGCTCAACTATTACCCTTCCTCATTATTCTGCCTCCAAAAACACACCTGTTAGCAACACCTAACACTTTCCTCTCACTTTCTTACCAGGACACCTTCAGTTTCAGAAAAACTTACGAAAACCAGAGAGTAGATCATCACTTATTTTTTTCTTGTATTGCCTTTCAGTTCTATGGAAACACGTTAGACCACATTTCAAGTCTCATACAACATATATTATAATGTTTCTAAAAGTGGTATTTTATAGCAATCCAAACTTCATGATTCGCAATCTGAGCAAGAAGTTCCTGACATTTTAATTTACAGCATCCTAAATTAGGGTGTTCAAAATCCAGATTCATTAATTGTTTTAATATTATTGTTAGCATAGACAAAGAGCCAAAAATAAGCAGGCAAGGAAGCCCCTGGAAAACGAAGTCCTGGAGATGCTGCCCACTGTCAGTAAGCACAAAGGGAAATGGCTACATTGGTTACATCTGGCCTTGTGGTTAGGCTCTTCCAGGTCTGAAGGGGACTGACCATGCCCTAGCCAAAGATAACCACACTAGGGACTCTCCGCACTGATGAGCATGCAGTCTCCACAAAAACTCACCCTACAGTAGCCTTTTTCTCATTATAGTATTAAAAATTATACCCCTGAGTAAAGATTTTAAATGCTAATGGACATGCAATGTGTGTACTAGTATGTACAACCACAGAGCATGCGTGCCCAAAGAGACCTCCTAAAACATGCTTGCAAGTAACACTCCTTCTTGCACCTTCATGAATAATCATGTAAAATTCTCATAAAGAGAGTCCCCCAGCACTACTGCTGCTGGTTCATTCTTTCAAGCAGCCCGCTCTGTCTTGTGTTTCAGAGTATACTTTCTCTTTAACTACACACTACTACTACTATTTTTCCAGCTGGATCAGCCAAGAACTGTTTTCCACTCCTCTCTGGGAATGCACTTTATCTTTTTTTAAGAAACCTTGATATTTAACTGTTGTTATGCATCTCTTGGCTGAATTCTTTCTTTAAAATTAGATAAGAATTAAGGATTTTGCACTTCCCAGTAACATTTTATAAATAAATTATATGCATCTCATATTGCCTATATAGGAAAACTGTTAATTTTATCTTTGCCTACTTAGATCCTATTCTAGGGCTTTTTAATCATTTTCTGCCTTGTAATCATCTGAGGTAAATTATTAAGGGTAAAGACACTTTGGAACTGCCCCTGAGGATTTGTATTAGATTAGGGTAGAGTGTAGGAATCTGCATTTTAATAAGCACCTCAGGAAATTTTGAAGAAGATGATTAATTGAATGGGCTTTTGGAAATACTTCCTCTGTGATGTCTTAGCAAGACCTAAGGTATAGGAAAATCCTAAACTTTTCCTAAAGAGTTTTACTTAGGCCCTGATGCAGGGGGGAGAAAAGAATAAGAAAATAAAAAAAAAGTGAAAAGAAAGAAAAGCATAATTATTCTTCTATGAGGAACTAGAAAAAATGGGCAAAATATATAAAAATATTTGCTCAGAAACTTGGAAACAGGAAGGACCAGATTGAGAACCCTGAGATGATAGAAATGCAATGATCTCTACAATATTTCTACTTTCTTCCTGGAAGCAGTTTCTGGATAGTGGAGCAAGGGACAAAATTAGAGACCAACAGATCCTGAATCTCAGAATCCTAGGAGACGTAACTTAGAGGTGGGGAGGCTGAGGTGACTGGACATTGTGCTGGAGAGTTCCAGAAACAAAGTGGCTACTTAGAAAAGTAGCTTCAAAAACATGCACAGAGTTCCTTTTAGAATTTGTTGGGTAAAAGGCTGCATATCTGTAGCAATAAAATCCACAAAGCTAAGTAAAGAATAGCGGGAAAGTAGAAGCCAAACAATTCCCACAGCACAGAGAATGAAAACAGTTCTGCTCCATCCAGCCATAGTGGAAAGCAATTAGTAGTTACCTGAGGCACTCAGTGGAGATTCCAGAGGAATCAGTCATGCCCAGGTAGTGGGCCTGAACTATCTCTGGAGTAGAGACACTCTTGACCCATTTAAACATTGTTTTGACCCAAGCAAACTTCCAGTTTTTGTGCTGTTGGCTACATAACATGTAGCCCCTTGTCTTGGTCCTCCCCGAGAGTATAGTCTACATAATTGTCTCTAAATAAATGATTTTGCTTTTAAGTCACTACAATAAATATTATTTCTGAAATGAAGAAATCAGACATATATAGATACTGCTCATCTTCTATAGTTAACTTTATGTTACAGCTGTTTTAAGTGCTTCTGGTGCTTTGAATATATCATGCTTTCTCATGCTTTTATGCTCTAGCACATACAATTCCTTTGCTGAAGAAGTTTCACTGATCCTTTAAGACCTTGATCAAGTATTATCTCCTCTTTGGAGACTTTCTATTCCTTCAGAACTTACGGTGACTTTCCTCACTGTCTTTTCACAGCACTATGTATAGATGGCTTTTACAGCATATATTCAATATATATGAAATATCTTCTTCGTCATAGACAATGAGATTCTGAAAGTGTAGAGTAATATCTTGTGATTTTTGTATTATTATACCTTAGGGACTAGCAAAGGGGATGAAACCAAGTAGTATTAATAGCAGCAGCAGTAGTAGTAGCAGCAGCAGTAGTAGTAGCAGTAGTAATAGTAGTAGTAGTAGTAAGAACAGGAAAAACTCCTAGGCAGTAGACCCAGAGTCAGCAAGGTTTGCACTCTTAACAACTGTATTTATACTCACTTAAACCCACTTTCAATAACATGCAAATTAAGGAGCAGGTTAATGCAACTTAAAGGGCAGGTTGTGTAGAACTTTCTAGAAAATGGGTGGTAACTTCTGGACTGTTGCCATGGAAAGGGGTGGTAACCTCTGAGTCATTACAACAGGATTTGTAAAATGTCATGGCACTGGTGGGAGGGTCTTATGCCAATGAGCAATAAGGGCAGCTAGGGATCACTTTTGTCAGCCATGTGCTGATTCCTGCCAGTTTCTTCACTTTGTCCTGTCTGGACCAGATCCTGTTTTAGTCTTCAGGGTTGTTACCATAAAACGAGTCCTGCCAGTCTCCTATCTCAGTACAGATAGTCTTCTAAAGCACTTGACATGCAATATTATATTATTTAAACCTTGGAGCAAGTATGCAAGTAAAATATTATTATTATTCCTGCTTTATTTAAAAGGAAAAAGAAAAAGAAGTGTAGATTTACAAAAATAATTTTAGGATAAATTGAAACAGTTCACTTAATACTTAGAATAAAACAAAAATAATTTCTAAGGGCAAAGAGGTTTTATGCTTGCAATGATAACAAATTAGTTATCCATTTTTTCTCTCTCTGCTTAATAGTTGGCACTAACCTATCCCCATTCCTTCCTGACATACTGACCATGTGATGTTCTCTCGTACTTTTGTGAAATAGCACATAACATTTTCTATTTTGAAGGCTTCTTATTGAGGGCAATTTAAATATTTATGTAAAAGCTGGGCCTGAGAACTAAACATTACTATCACTCTTCTACCTTCATGAAAGCACAAAGTTGAATCTACCACCCATAAAAAGAATGAAAAAAAAATGTCTTTTTGCTAAATAGACAACCAATGCTGTTATCAGTTTCTAAATTAATAACATGCAAATGTATCTGTATGGCAAATAAAAGTTCTATAATATAATAAAATCATGATATCCAAATTACCATTCCGATATGTGCTCAGAGACCAAAAGGAATACAAATTAATGAATTCTCTCTCTCTCTTTCAATTTTATAGTTGAAAGAGAATTTGAATTATATGTTTTGAGCAGAAAAAAAACTCTTCTTATGTTTTATGCTCTGGTATCATAAATTACACTGTATTGCTACATATAATACATTATAAAGGAGGCCAATATAATTGTAAAATATTAGGCTGCAGTAGGAAAAAGCAGGCCATGGAGAATTAGTAAAATTAGAGTATGTCATCGTGGATTAGGTATGATTTAATAAATTGACCTCAATATTAAACTCATGGCTTAAGTCATATTTAAGAACAAATGCCATCAACTTCATCCCTTTGGCACAACAGACAGCAGAGTTCTTGAAAAAATTTCAGCTTTTAGTTTTCTTGTCTGTAGATCAGACACACACAAGTGACTTCAGGAGGCTCTAGATGTATTATTAACCAGAATAGTGCATCCACAAATTATATACAAAGCCAATAGTTCCTATCCTGAGAATCAGAACAAATGTACTGTCAGGAAACATGGAAAACCTTTTGGGGAAATTCCCACAGGGGAGAAAATAAAAGGTGTAACTAAGAAAAGTAGAGCAGAAAATTAATATTTTATTTTAGAAATATTGGTTTTCTTTTCTTTGATAATTTTTACTTGGAAAACCAAGAGCATCTTTCACCATGATAGGCAATTATGTGGAACAAGCTGTCTTTAATGTCTTCAAAAAATGTATGTACTAAATTTATTAAAGTAAAAATAAAGCTTATTATAAGAATAGACTCAGGGTATACAGGCTTTTAAAATTTTTTTCTGAAGACTTAATAATATACTTCTCCAAAAGGGAGTAAAGCTTTACTTGTTCTGAATATATTATAATTAAGAAATGATTAGGAATTGTATCTTCAAGCAGAGCAAACTGCTCATCATATACGGGGTCTTTGGGAAGACTGGAGTTTAAGAATTCATACACTTCCAGAGATGTAAGTAGGTTGACATCACCTGTAGATGCATGGTTACTCAGGTGAGAATATTGTTCACTGGTTGGCAATCTAAGACATGGTTATTGGTATGATTTTGCTCCTGATTAGTTTGCTTTCAGGAACAAGGAGCTAGCATTAATTGGTAGCCTAAAACATCAAGCTTTCTGAGACTAGTTGTTGCATAATTAAATACATTTACAACGAATTCTGAATGCTATTCATTACCATGGCTGCACAACAATGTCTTTCCACAAATTTTTGAACACATTTTAAATTTGTAATAGCTTTATGACATAGTTTTTCTTTAATTAAATATTTAATTTCATCTTTTGGTTCACATAATGAGTTGAATGTTGGACCCCAAAAAGACAAGTCTGGTACCTGTTAATGTGATCTTATTTGGAAAAAGCATCTTTGCAGATGTGATTACATTTAGGATATCAAGATGAGATCATCCTGGATCATCTGAGTGGGCCCTAAGTCCAATGTCAAGTGTTCTTACAAGAGACAAAAGAGGAGACAGAGAGAAAAGAGCAGAAGACCATATAAAGGCAGAGGCAGAGATGAAAGTGACATAGCCAGAAGTAGCTGCTGTGACTCTGGAATCTGGAAGAGACAGGGAAGAATTCCCCTCTAGATCAGAGGGAGTGCAGGCCTGCTGACACCTTGATTTTGGTCTTTGGGTCCCTAGAATGTGAGAAAATAAATTTTTCTAGATTAAAGAGGCCAAGTTTATAAAAATTCATTATGGCCGCTATAGGAAAATAATGCAATTACCTACAATAAACCTTCAATAAATTTAATAAATCTATTTCCCAATAGAAATGCATGTGTGACATAATTTATAATTCCTTGCATATATAAAATATTTTTGTTATGATTGCAAGTTAAATATTTGATTTATAAATTTAAAAAGGCAAACTGGTGAAATTTCCATAGCAAATACTCCAGATTCTGTTTTGTTGTTATCAAACACGAAACCACAATTTAAGAGCTATTTTGGGAAAAAACTATTCCCTTTAAGTGCCTTTAGATGTTGTTCCATGATCTCGTAGTATTAAGTTGAGGTCAATCTGAAGTTTCATGCTTTAGATATATTTGGTTTCATGTGTCTAAATAGCTCTAAAATTATTTATTTAACTCTCATATTTAAAACTTCACAAAGGTAATTTAAACTCATTTATAGTACCTGTCATGTAGTGAAAATACTATTTTCAGTTCAGAAAGTTTCGGCTATTATGTTATCAATTATTTCATATTTTCCACTCATACAATTTTTCTTTTGGGGAAGAGTATATTATTTGTATCTTGAGCTGCTCTTCTGTAGTCTTCAGAGCTTTCATTTCTGTCTGACCCTTTTAATCACATTTTTCAGTTCCTCTGACTGGTATATACTCTGCATAATTGATTGCCCATTACTTATAGTACCAAATGCACTCTTCATTTCTTGCATTATCTTTAATTCTCCAATTGGGTTATTAATTGACTCACACATTTTATATTTCTCACCCAATTTATTTTTACATTTATTTCCCAGTCATTTTTTTAAGCCATGTTTTAATTTATTATATGCAATTTCTTTTATTTCATAGAAATAACATGAAATGAAGTTAAATTGGTTAAAGTATCCATTTATTTCTGCTTCCTATTATAAATATATATTTTTATAATTTTATGTTTGTATGACTACATAATAGTTATACATATTTTGGAGGTCCATGTGACATTTTGACACAAGCATACATTTGTAATAATCAAATCAGGGTAATTGGGATATTCTTCACTTCAAACACTTATTATTTCTTTGTGTTAGGAAAATTACAATTCCACCCCTCTAGTTATTTCAAATGTACAATAAATTATTGTAAATTAAACATCTGTAAATTAAAATTACCCTATTGTGCTACTGAACACTAGATACTGTTCATTCTAACTGTACTTCTACAACCATTAACCAGCCCCTCTCTATTCCCCGCTTTCCACCACCCTTCCCACCCTCTGGTAATCATCATTTACTCTCTACTTCTATGAGATCATTGTTTTAGCTCACACATATGAGTAACAACATGTGATATTTGTCTTTCTATGCCTGGCTTATTTCACTTAACATAATGCTGTGTGGTTCTATCCATCTGCTACAAGTGACAAGAGTAAATGTTTTAAAATATGTTCTTTTTAATAAGTGGTTTATTTTTATACTTTTATATTGCAGAATCTTTTCAACAGTCTAATAATCTTTGTAGTCTCTGTTTTACTTTCCGTTTATCTCTGATTAAGGTTATAGATGTTCAAACTTGGCACTTGTTCTTTACATTTTCTTTGGATTTCTTTAACATCTACTCAAATATTCTTAGAAATACTATCTTATGTATTAAACCTATCTGCTAATTATTGTAAGTTTGGTAGTCCCGTGATACAACATCATAAAAAACTTAGAAGATATGCGATGCCAAGAGGATCAGAGATTATTTTGAGTCTGTGTTTTTCCCATTAACTTTGGTAAAACGATCCTGAGGCAAATATTTCATATTTACAGTTCCCTTTGGCTTGGTCTATTCTAGTATGTAATGCGGCTTCTCAATGCTGAAACTATGGGCTTATGATAGAGCTCTGCCACACTAAGAAGAATAAACTCAATCCCCTCACTGTGGTACACTTTTCATTTGGAGTACCAATAATTTTTCTTCAGAATCCTAAGACGTATTCTTTTAAATGTTATTGATTTATAGTGGCAAAGCTGTTATGTGTGTTTCCCGTGATTTGGATACATCTCTCCAATAAACTATGAGTTCCTAGAGAATATGGATCACATCATTTTATTCCTTGGTTACTTACCAGCTAGCATATTGCCTTACACAGATTTTAAAAACTTGATAAGTGTCTATTAAATGTTAAATACTGAAAGACATACATTTTTATTATAAAATTCAGAATTTTTTTTTTTTGAGATGGAGTCTCATTCTGTCATCCAGACTAGAGGACAGGGGGTTGATCTCGGCTCACTGCAATAATAAAAACGAATGTATAGCAAACTGTGTATTTCTGAGTATTAAAGTTTAAAAACCTATCAGCAACCTCAAAAAAACTCACTCGGTAAAATTAATACATTTATTTAGTTTCAGTTCTAATAACTTTAGTAACAAGTAGAGTAGACTAGACCACCCAGGAAAAACAAAACTAAAAACAAACTAAACAAAACTAAAACATACAAAAACCAACAAGGAAAGAATAAGGAAAACAAAGGGGAAAAAAGGCTTCAACTGTCTTGCTTGTATTACATGGTCTTAGATTTAACACTGTGAAATTTTTTTATTTAAAATATTCTTCTGGTGCAGTGGCTCACGCCTGTAATCCCAGCAACTTGAGAGGCTGAGGCAGGAGGATCAGTTGAGGTCAGGAGGTTGAGACAAGGCTGGCCAACATTCTGAAAGCCTGTCTCTACTAAAAATACGAAAACTAGCTGGGAGTTGTGGTGGGTGCCTGTCATCCCAGCTACTTGGGAGGCTGAGTCAGGAGAATCACTTGAACCCAGGAGGCAGAGGTTGCAGTGAGCCAAGATCAACCCACTGCCCTCCAGAGGTTTTCTATGAAAGCCATTCCCTCCAGGGTAAGAGTAGATGATACCCATCCACAGTGAAACTGCAAGAGTGAATAAAGGAAATCCATCCTCCCAAATTCTGTGAAACAGAATTCCAGTTTATGAACTACAGGGGACTCCATAAATTAATTAAAGAGAGTATGGGAAATGAAAGTCATGTGACCTTCAATAATTAGATAGATAGATAAAAATACAGGAATAAAAATGCTTACTAAAGAGAAATTCCAATAAAATGAATCTTCAAGTTAAAAGTGAATTTTTACCTAAGGTCTATATAGATTGATTTTAAATTGGAATATATATATTTTATAACTTATATGATGTATATAATATATATTTTTTGGAATCTATATATGCAATTGAAAATTGTTTTTGTGTCATCATACCACAAAACAACCAAATACAATATGCATATAAATTAGAATTAGATAACCCACCATGTGCATACAGAACATAACTATTCATTTATTTATAAATTTATTTCCTCAACTAATATTTAGAGAACACTTATGTGTACAAGTGCTACTTAACAAATAGTAATTCATGATGTTCCCAATTCTGTAGAAGTTATAAAAATAAATAAGACATAAACCATGCTCTCAAAATTCTTACAATCAAGTAGTGGAAATATGATGGATAATAAATGATTCCCATAAAAATAATTCTTGAGAACTCTATGAGAAAAATGTAGAGTACCACAGTATTTCAGATAGGATAGATAGCTATAAATTAACGCAGTCAGAAAGAGCTACATTAAGGGCAATAGGGCCAAAAAGGTCTATGAAATTACAGTTTGCCCAAAGGTAAGTACTGGGCATTACAGAAGTTAACATTATGAGTAAAATTACAGAGGCTACTTAGAGAATAATCTATTTTGGATAAAATGTTGAGTTAGTTTTTAGTTATTTTTTTTTCAGAGTAGATAAGTATGTTTGTTCAGTAACTGACTTATTTGCTCATAGAAGATTAACCAGACAACGTTGTAGTGCTGAACTTGACAGAGAAAGCTATAGATACAATGTTTGTTACATAGTTTTTTAAATAGTTCAGATGTTTCAGAGACAACAAATTGTTCACAATATATTTTTTTATTTTTTTAATATTAGAATACATCATCTTGGCATATCTTTATCTAGAAAGAAGACTATATTTCCCAGACATTTTTACTGATAGATTTGACAATGCAACCAAACTCGTCAACAGGGTGGAAGCAGACATGCTGCAGCTAAGAAGTGATCTTAGAAAGAGGGCGGCACCCTTCTGCATCTTTGCTACTTTGTGGTATGGGATGTGAGTTTAAAAACTAGCACTTGGAAATCCTTTTTGGACCATGAAGAGGCAAATATATGTGGAATAAGGCAGAGAATTAAGAAATATATTTATGCATCTCTGATGCCATATGGCATCTTACAAGCCCTCGATTGCCTAGTTTGCTTAAGCCATAGTCATTGAGGGTTTATATCTGTCAAATAAAGGTAAACACAATATCAACTGGTATACTAGGTATATCAGACATATTGAGTTCTTAATTAAAATATTAAATAATGTTAAAATAATATTAAATGTTAAAATATGTTAAAATATAAAATTAAATAAAATATTAAATAAAATATTTAATATACTGATATACCAAATATATCAGACATATTAAGTTCTTAATAAAAATATTTTAAAATTCAATAAAATATCAAATATTTTATTTAATATTAATTAAAATATTAATGAAATATTAATAAAATAAAATATTAAATAAATTATAATAAAATAAAATAAAAATGTTAATAAAATTAATTAAAAATATTTAATATTTAATCAAATCTAAATATTTGATATTTAAGTAATATTAAGTATGAAAAATAAAAAACTGAAAGAACTAAAAGTTCCTTTAGTTTTTCTAAATAAAAGGTAATATATGGGATATTTTAAAATCTAGAATCTGGAAATACATCTAATTTGTATCTTTTTACTATATATTTCAACAAAACACTGTGCACTCTGAATTAATAATACTATGAAATGATGGTGCAGCTGTGATCTGGTCCTGAGATATTACTTTCTCACATGTACAAGTTTTACCTTCTTTACTGAGTTGGGAGGCGACCAATCCACTGAAACGTGTTTGTGGCAAGTGATATCAGGTAGAAGATAGATCTCAGTTAAAACTAAGCCATGAGAGTTGTCACAGAAAAGTCAGGGTGCTGAAGAATAAGTCATCAAATATTAGTCTACAGCTGACATTAGACAAATCAAGTAGTCTACAAAGGTCTAGGAATGCATGGCATTCAATGAAAGAATAGGAGGGGAAAGTAGCAGAAAGGACAGACTTTTCCCTAACTTTTTCCTGATGTATTTGTAACCAAGTTGACCTGAATCAGCAGGTATAAAACATAATGCTTGTTGCAGGGACTGAGTGAGGACTAGACAATATCTTTTTATTAGTAGGACATCAACTGTAATAAACAATTGGCAAATGCTAATTTTCCAATTGTCATTCTGGTGTAAAGGAAATAATTCAATACAAATGATGACATTGTGAGAGAAACTTCTTCATTTTTAAATAGAGAATTTGAGCACAGATAACAAATAATTACTCAAATATTATATACTTTACTAAAACTATTAGAAGGAAATATATCTTCAGAATAGCTCAGTGTGAAACACTTTCTTTAAAAAAAAAAAATCACTTTTTCCCTAAAGCATTTTGGCACAAGTTCAGATATTGATAGAACTTAAGACTCCATAAATGACCTTGTGACAACAGATTGCTGACCTCCAGGGAAGAAGTTTTTGATTTTGATCAAAGGCTAGAGAAAGCTGAATTTTGTGATCTATTTGTAACACTCCTGGAAATACTTGGGAGTAACTAGAGTTCACTGTACCTGTAGTTTTGAGACCCAATCTATTGTTACCACAACTTCTTTTCAAGTCTACTGCTCTCTGACCTCATCAGTAGATAGCATGATCAAAGCAGCATTTGAAGAACAGGCTATGTGGTGCCTGACCTGAGTAACAATGGCAGTCAGTAGTGGCCATCTCAGATACACATTTTGGATTTACTAATCCTAGATGATGTAAGTTCATATAAATTTTGGGACAACTGTGTGAACTGTAATTACGTTATAAAGAACTAAAATCTAAAAGACATTGGGATGAGAACAATTACATGGATATGTAGTTGTTCAACTTCGAATGATGTTTAATGCCTCTAAATGAATCTCTCTGCTTATCTCTAAATGTCTCACTTTTCCTCTAAATAAAATCACAATGTTATAGAGATATGTCTTGGGTGAATGAATAATTCTTGATATAAAAGATAAAAACACTTGGACTGGGAATGAAGAATCCCATGTTCTAGATTCAATTTGGTAGGAGGAATTCTAACATGACCTCTAAGATTATCACCTCATGGTGTGTGCACCTTGCATAATCCCCTCCCCTTGAAAGTGATTGGTCTAATCTAATCAGGTAATTCCTTTAAAGAGAAAAACTAAGGGTGAGAGAAGACAGAAATCAACAAACTGCATGTTGTGGAGAGGGTCTCATGGTTGGGAATAGTAGGAAGACCCTTACTAGTCTCAGATTTTAAAATTCTATGGGATGGAGCCACTTATTTATTACGAGATTGCAGCTCTGGAAGAGAATTTAAAAATGATGTAATCCACCAAGAGTAAAATCACAACCTTGTGCTTATTGACATCTCATGATATCCAAATGAGCAAACAATGGTGGAATAAATATTGGATCTGATCTCTCATTTGAATATTGAATTGTGCCATGAAAGGCTGATAATAAGCCAGAAATGAACACATAACTCAATATATTAAACGGCCCTTAAGAGTCCATTCACTCTAAATCGTTATCAAGGGAATTTTGCATTGAAATCCTAGAAAACTTTTCTGTCAAAAAGAAATGAAGAAAGTAGTTATGCTTTAACTCATTAAAATTTTATTTTACCGACTGATGTTTTCTGGATAGATTTTCTTTATAGGATACAAATTACGTTTTTATTTTTTACTTTGGTCACACTGGGTTGATTAAAAAACCATAGCCATGTTTATGCCCACCTACTGTATTTTTAGTATGAAAAATAAAGAATGCTATATAAATTAAGATTTTTAAAAACTGCTTGATGTTTATAGCATACTAGATATACGTATATTGCTATTATTTAATATAAAACAATATATGAACCATATAGGAAAGAGGCTTATCTCAGAATAAATTCAAATTTATTCCTAGGACACCAGGGAACTGAATGGAGCCACTGATTTACAACAAATGAATGGATGGCATAAGGCTTTCCAGGATCAGGAAATATTAGCAATAGAGAAAATATGAAATTTAGTAACAGCTGACCTCCCTTGAAATATATTATGAACCCCACCTGCTTGAGACATCAAATAAAAATTTTATTTACTTATCCAGTGTAGAATTAATTACATGTTAGCCAAAGAACACACCAATGGGCCCACTGAAGTTACTTAATAACTTAATAAACTTTTCTCCAAAAATGAGGACATAAGCTGGAATAATGGAAGCATGAAGCAGAAATGAGAGATTCATTATCCAGTTCTCCAGATATTTGATTTAAATAAAGCAGTATTTATTTTGCCTTCACTTTCTAAGATATGGTCTGAGTCCTAGTGACATTAATTCCATCATAAATGAACAAATATGATGCTCATAAAGCATAATAAAAATTAAGTGACAATTTACTCATTCTATTATTAATTCAATTAAAATTCACATATTGATGGCATTCCATATGTAGATAATTGTGGTACATTCTTGGAGGGTATACAATTAACATAAGATATATTTCTCTCCATCTACAGCTGTACAGTATAGGGGACAGGAAAGTTGGGGTGAGATATGGAGAAGTAAGTTCATTCTTATACATTAAGTGAATTTATTTTGATAGAAAATAATAGAAACCCCCTCTAGCTCACTTCTATTCATTAAAGTGATAGCTAATTCCAAGTTAAATTCACTTGCAGAAAAAGGGAGTTGTGAGACTGGAATCGAGATGAACAGCTGGTACTCAAAATAAGCATAAATCATCAAAACAGACAAAATAGATCCTACTATGAGAGAGTATGTTAATTAAGAGAAGCTGTTAGCTAAGTGTTTGAAATCCAAAGACACGCATAGGCTCAAAATACAGGGATGGAGGAAGATTTAGCAAGCAAATGAAAAGCAAAAAAAAAAAAAAAAAAAAAAAGCAAGGGTTGCAATCCTAGTGTCTGATAAAACAGACTATAACCAACAAAGACCAAAAAAGAAAAATAAGGGCATTACATAATGGCAAAGGGAACAATGCAACAAGAAGCACTAACTATCCTAAACATATATGCACCCAATACAGGAGCACCCAGATTCATAAAACAAGTTCTTAAGGACCTACAAAGAGACTTAGACTCTCACACAATAATAGTGGGAGATTGTAACACCACACTGTCAATATTAGACAGATCAACAAGACAGAAATTAGCAAGGATACTAAGGAACTTGAACTAAGCTCTGGACCAAGTGGATCTAATAGACCATTGCAGAACTCTCCACCCCAAATCAAAGGAATACATATTCTTCTCAGCACCACATAGCACTTATTCTAAAATTGACCACATAATTGGAAGTAAAACACTCCTCAGCAAATGCAAAAGAATGAAAGTCATAACAAACAGTCTCTCAGACCACAGTGCAATCAAATTAGAACTCGGGATTAAGAAACTCATTCAAAACTACACCACTATATAGAAACTGAGCATCCTGCTCCTAAATGATTACTGGGTAAATAACAAAATGAAGGCAGAAATAAATAAGCTCTTTGAAACCAATGAGAACAAAGATGCAACATACCACAATCTCTGGGACAGAACTAAGGAAGTGTTTAGAGGGAAATTTATACCACTAAATGCCCACAGGAAAAAGCAGGAAAGATCTAAAATTGAGACCCTAACATCACAATTAAAAGTACTAAAGAAGCAAAAGCAAACAAATTCAAATACTAGCAGAAGACAAGAAATAACTTGAGATCAGAGCAGAACTGAAGGAGATAGAGACACGAAAAACCCCTCAAACAAATCAATGAATCCAGGAGCTAGTTTTTTGGAAAAGATAAAGAAAATAGACCGCTAGAAAGACTAACAAAGAAGAAAAGAGAGAAGAATCAAATAGACAAAATAAAAAAAGATACAGGAGATATCATCACTGATCCCACAGAAATACAAACTACAATCAGAGAATACTATAAATACCCCCACACAAATAAACTAGAAAATCTAGAAGAAATGGATAAATTCCTGGACACATACACCCACCCAAGACTAAACCAGGAAGAAGTCAAATCCCTGAATAGACCAATAACAAGTCCTGAAATTGAGGCAGTAATTAATAGCCTGTTAACCAAAAAAAAGCCCAGGACCAGAAGGATACACAGCCAAATTCTACCAGAGGTACAAAGAGGAGCTGGTACCATTCCTTTTGAAACTATTCCAAACAATTTTTTAAAAGGGAATCCTCCCTAATTCTTTTTATGAGGCCAGTATCATATTGATTCCAAAACCTGGCAGAGACAAAAACAACAAAAAAAGAGAATTTCAGGCCAATATCCCTGATGAACATCAATGTGAAAATCCTTAATAAAATACTGGCAAACCAAATCCAGCAGCATATTAAAAAGGTTATCCACCACAATCAAGTTGGCTTCATCCCTGGGATGCAAGGCTGGTTCAACATATGCAAATCATAAACATAATCCATCACATAAACAGAACCAATGACAAAAACAACATGATTACCACAATAGATGAAGACAAGGCTTTCAATAAAATTCCACACCTCTTCATGCTAAAAACATTCAATAAACTAGGTACTGAAGGAATGTACCTCAAAATAATAAGAGCTATTTATGACAAACCCACAGCCAATATCATAATAATGGGCAAAAGCGGGAAGCATTCCCTTGGAAAACTGGCACAAGACAAGGATGCCCTATCTCACCACTCCTATTTAACACAGTATTGAAAGTTCTGGCCAGGGCAATCAGGCAAGAGAAAAACATAAAGCATATTCAAATAGGAACAGATGAAGTCAAATTGTCTTTGTCTGCAGATGACAGGATTGCATACTTAGAAAGCCTCATCATCTCAGCCCAAAAACTCCTTAAGCTCATAAGCAACTTCAGCAAAGTCTCAGGACACAAAATCAATGTGCAAAATCCACAAGCATTGCTATACACCGATAATAGACAAAGAGAGAGCCAAATCATGAGTGAAGTCTCATTCACGATTGCTACTAAGAGAATAAAATACCTAGGAATACAACTTACAAGGGATGTGAAGGACCTCTTCAAGGAGAACTACATACCATTGCTCAAGGAAATAAGAGAGGACACAAACAAATGGAAAAACATTCCATGCTTATGGATAGGAAGGATCCATATTGTGAAAATGGCCACACTTCCCAAAGTAATTTATAGATTCAATGCTATCCCCTTCAAGCTACCATTGACTTTCTTCACAGAATGAGAAAAAACTACTTTAAATTTCATATGGAACCAAAAAACAGCCCGTATAGCCAAGACAATCCTAAGCAAAAAGAACAAAGCTGGAGGCATCATGCTACCTGACTTCAAACTATACTACAAGGCTACATTAACCAAAGCAGCATGGTACTTGTACCAAAACAGATGTACAGACCAATGGAACAGAACAGAGACCTGAGAAATAACACCACACATCTACAACCATCTGATCTTTGACAAACCTGATAAAAACAAGCAATGGGGAAAGGATTCCCTATTTAAAAACTGGTGTTGAGAAAACTGGCTAGCTATAGGCAGAAAACTAAAACTGGGCCCCTTCCTTACACTTTTTACAAAAATTAACTCAAGATGGATTAAAGACTTAAATATAAAACCTAAAACTATAAAAAGCCTATAAGAAAACATATGCAATACCATTCAGGACATAGGTATGGGCAAAGATTTCATGAGTCGAACACCAAAAGCAATGGCAACAAAAGCCAAAATTGACAAATGGGATCTAATTAAACTGAAGAGCTTCTGAACACCAAAAGAAACTATCATCAGAGTGAACAGGCAACCTACAGAATGGGAGAAAAATTTCACAATCTATCCATCTGACAAAGGGACAACATCCAGAATCTACAAGAAACTTAAACAAATTTTGAAGGAAAAAACCAACAACCCCAAAAAAAGTGGGTGAAGGATACGAACAGACACTTTTCAAAAGAAGACATTTATGTGGCCAACAAACATATGAAAAAAAGCTCATCATTACTGGTCATTGGAGAAATGGAAATCAAAACCAAAATGAGATACCATCTCACACCAGTTAGAATGGCAATCATAAAAAAGTCAGGAAACAACAGATGCGGGAGAGGATGTGGAGAAAGAGGAACGATTTTACACTGTTATGGGAGTGTAAATTAGTTCAACCATTGTGGAAGACAGAGTGAAGATTTTTCAAGGATCTAGAATTAGAAATACCATTTGACCCAGCAATTCGATTACTGGGTATATACCCAAAGGATTATAAACCATTCTACTATAAAGACACATGCACACACTTTTTTTTGGAGCACTATTCACAATAGCAAAGAGTTGGAACCAACCAAATGCCCATTAATGATAGACTGGATAAATAAAATATAGCACATATACACCATGGAATACTATGCAGCCATAAAAAAGGATGAGTTCATGTCCTTTACAGGGACATGGATGAAGCTGAAACCATCATTCACAGCAAACTAACACAGACACAGAGAACCAAACACTGCATGTTCTCACTCATAAGTGAGGGGAACATCACAGACCAGGGCTTGTCAGGGGGTGGAGGGCAAGGGGAGGGATAGCATTAGGAGAACTATTTAATGTAGATGTTGGGTTGATGAATACAGCAAACCACCATGGCATATACACACACACACACACACACACACACACACACACACACACACACACATATATATATAACAAATCTGCTCATTCTGCACATGTATCCCAGAACTTAAGGTATAATTAAAAAAAAAATCTAGAGGCACAATGCTTGAAAAAAATGTTCAAATCACCTACTTAACTCATTCAAATTATTTATTAAATTCGATTTCATACTGTAAAATCATATTATTAAAACATAACTGAGCTGGGAAAGATGGTCAACTAGATGCAGCCAGGTGGAACAGCTGCCAACAAGGGACTAGGACAATTGGAGCTTTCCTATCAGATCTTCAGAGGGAAGGCACAGAGAGTGGATGCAGGGAAGAAACAAAAGCTGGGCTGAAGGTGGAGGAAGCCAGGAACCCTGAAAGAAGGCTGCCATGCACTGGAACTTAATAGTGGCCCCCAATGGCTCCAGGGGAACAGGTGAGTTGAACTGGCAAAGAGCAACTAATTTTTGCCATGGATCTCAGGAATGCTGGCAGGAGGAGATCCCTCAACCACCACAGACAGTTGAGTCAACAGGGAGAATTGCTCAGAGAAGTGGTAGGGGCAACAGGGAACCCAGAGGGTTTGGTGTGAGAGTACCTGTATTGAAGCACAGCCATAGATACCTTTCCCCCAAGGCTTGACTTGCTCCCAGAAGAGGCTTTAGCCATAGGGAAACTTTCACACCTGAACTCTGCAGGGTGGTTCTTGACCATCACATGAGGCTGGTCTGACCTGAGCATCTGTTGGTTTGCTGGCTTCTACCAGGGTCCAAGCTTGGCTGTACTTGCTTTCATTGCAGCCTTGAGTATACTAAGGGCCTGCATCATAGCTCTTCTACTTGCTGACCATGTCTGACTGGCAGAGAGTTTTAGCAAGGTGGCATTTGCAGCCATGCACCAGCCTGCCCATTCCATCTCTCAACTGCACAACTACACCTTCCTCAGACCTGTGGCCAAGCCCCACATGGCTTTCCCAGAGCATGTGTGTGGGCAGACCTTGCCTTCCCTGCTCTAACAGCGTGCATGTGCCCATGTGCCTGCCCTGCCCCTTCTGGCAGTGGGAGTGCATTCTGCCCCCACCTCCCCTGTCATACCAACATTGGAGTCAAAGCTTTGGTGGGCACAGAGCCCACCAAAACCCTTCCTCCACAAGCACCCTGCCCCTGCACCAACACTGCTGCTGGAGTGAGAACAGTGGACCCTCCCCTACCCTAAGCAGCCACCTCTGCCTCTGTGAATGCTCACAGAGGGTGTATACAGTCCTGTGAATGCAATGCCCTAGCCCCATTCAAACACCACTAGCAATGCAACCATATGTACAGTCACCAGTGGGGTACTCCTCAACTGTGCTGCCTCCAATGTTGGGGCTAACACGCCATGGAGGCCAGCACCCTGATACCTGCTAGCACCCTGACACAGCTGTTAAGTGTGAACTCTGCCATAGCCATGCTTGCTGCTGTTGACATGTGTGAAAGAGGACAGATCTTGCTGCCACCACCCTTTGGCTGGCATCATCCATTGAAGTGCTGGGACTAGGAATATTTTGTCACCCCCATTGGAGTGGGTCCTTAAGGTCAAGGAGTTGGAGAACAAAGTCAGGGCCCAAACAAATTCCCCAATCTACAGCATGCAGTACAGGAGTTGTGAACTGACCCTTAGCCCCCTAAAATGTTCCAGAAATGAATCCAGTCAATGGAACCAACCTTATACCACAATTCAACCCACAAGGTCATCAAATAAGATAAAAGAAGAAAGAAAAACAAAGAGAGCAACTTCAAAGATTGAAGAAGCATCATTTCACAATGATAAGAGAAAATCAGCACAAGAACTCTGACAACTCAAAAAACCAGAGTGCCTTCTTTCCTTCTTATAAGAACACTAGCTTTTGAGCAAGGGTTCTGAACCAGGCTCAGATGGCTGAAATTACAAATAGAATTCTGAATATGGATAGGAATGAAAATCATCAGATGCAAGAGTATATAAAAATCTAATCCAAGGGGCCAGGCATGGTGGTTCACGCTTGTAATCCAAGCACTCTGGGAGGCCAAGGTGGGAGGATCACTTGAAGTCAGGAGTTCGAGACCAACCTTGGCAACATGGTGAAACCCCATCTCCACCAAATAATAATAATAATAATAATAATAATAATAATAAATTAGCTTGGAGTGATGGCATGCACCTGTAGTCCCAGGTACTCAGGAGGCTGATGCAGGAGAATTGCGTGAACCCAGGAGGCAGAAGTTGCAGTGAGCCAAGATGATTCCACTGCATTCCAGCCTGGGGGACAGTGAGACTTTATCTCAAAAAAAAAAAAAAAAAATCCAGTCCAAGGAAGCCAAGAATCACAATAAAACAATACAGGAGCTGACAGACAAAATAGCCGCTATAGAAAAGGATGTAACTTATCTGACAGAGCTAAAAAACACACTACTGGCCAGGCGCAGTGGCTCACGCCTGTAATCTCAGCACTTTGGGAGGCTGAGGCAGGTGGATCACAAAGTCAGGAGATCGAGACCATCCTGGCTAGCATGGTGAATTGCTGTCTGTACTAAAAATACAAAAAATTAGTGGGGCATGGTGTCGGGCACCTGTAGTCCCAGCTACTCAGGAGGCTGAGGCAGGAGAAAGGCGTGAACCTGGGAGGCGGAGCTTGCAGTGAGCCAAGATCACGCCACTGCACTCCAGCCTTGACAACAGAGCGAGACTCCGTCTCAAACAAAACAAAACAAAACAAAAAAACCACTACTATAAATTCATAATGCTATCACAGGTAATAGTAGACCAAACTGAAGAAAGACTTTTAGAGCTTAATGACTGGTTTTCTGAAATAAGACAGTCAGACAACAATAGAGAAAAAGAACAAAAAAGAATGAAGAAAAAATTAAGAAAAATATGGAATTATGAAAAGAAATTATATCTAAAACTCATTGGTGTCCCTGAAAGAGATGAGAATAGAAGCAACCTTGAAAACCTGTTTCAGAATATCACCAATGAGAATTCTCCAAACTAGCTATAAATGTCAACATTCAAATTCAGGAAATGCAGAGAACCCCAGTAAGATACTTCACAAGATCAGCTCCAAGAAACATAATTATCAGACTTTCCATGGTCAAAATGAAAGAAAAAACTGTTAAAGGCAGCTAGAAAGAAAGGTCAGGTCAGCTACAAAGGGAAGCTCATCAGACTAATAGCAGGTCTCTCTGCAGAAACCTTACAAGCCAGAAGAGATTGGGGGCCAATATTGAACATTCTTAAAAAAAAAGAAATTCCAACCAAGAATTTCATATCCAACCAAACTAAGCTTCATAAGCAAGGGGGAAAAAAAGATCCTTTTCAGGTAAGCAAATGCTCAGGGAATTCATTATTATCAGACTGGCCTTACAAAAGCTCCTGAAAGAAGCACTAAAAATGTAAAGGCAAAACCATTACCAGCCACTGCAAAAACACACTTAAATATACAGACAAGTGACAATATAAAGCAACCATAGAAACAAGTCTGAATAACAAACACCTAACATCATGATGAAGATCAAATTCATAAATACTAATATCTACCTAAAATCATGATGAAGATCAAATGCACAAATATCAATATTAACCTTGAATGTAAGTGGGCTAAATGCCCCCAATTAAAAGGCACAGAGTGGCAAGCTGGATGAAGAACCAAGACCCAATGATATGCTTTCTTCAAGAGACCCATCTCACATGCAATGACACCCTTAGGCTCAAAATAAAAATATGGGTAAAAATCTACCAAGCAAATGGAAAACATAAAAAATCATGGGTCCTTATTATAATTTCAGACAACATAGAACTTTGACCCAACAAAGATAAAAAAAGAAAAAAATGGCATTACATAATAGTAAAATGTTTAACAAGAAAACCTAACTAGCCTAAATTTATATGCACCCAACAAGGAGCACCCAGATTCGTATGGTAAGTTCTTGAAGGGCTTCAAAGAGACTTAGATTCCCACACAATAATAGTGGGAGATTTAAACACCCTACTGACAATATTATGCAGATCATCAAGGCATAATATTAACAAAGATATTTAGGAACTGCACTCAGCACCCAAATTGACTTAATAGACATCTACAGAACTCTCCACCCAAAACCAACAGAATATGCATTCTTCTCATTGCCACATGGCACATATTCTAAAATCAACCACACAGTTGGACATAAAGTAATCCTCAGCAAATGCAAAATAACTGATATCATACAAACCATTCTTTTGAATCACAGCACATTAATATTAGAAATCAAGATTTAGAAAATCATTCAAAACCATAAAATTACATGGAATTGAATAACATGCTCCTGAATGACTTTTGGGTAAATGGTGATATTCAGGCAGCAACCAAAAAGTCTTTTGAAACTAATGACAGCACACAAACCACATACCAGAATCTCTGGGACACAGCCAAGGCAGTGTCAAGAGAGAAATTTATAGTACTAAATACCCACATTTAAAAAATTAGAAAGATTAAATTTAATAACCTAACATCACTGCTAAAATAACTAGAACGAAGCACAAACTAACCACAAAACTAGCAGAAGACAAGAAATAACCAAAATGAGAGCTGAACTGAAGGAGACTGAGACATGAGAAACCACTCAAAAGATCCAGAAGTTGGTTTTATTTTAAAAATTAATAAAATAGATAGATTATTAGCTAGACTAACAAAGAAGAAAAGAGAGACAATCCAAATAAACACAACTAAAAACCACAAAGGAGATAATACCACTGACCCCACAGAAATACAAGTAACCATCAGAAAATATAATGAAAACCTCTATGAACACAAACTAGAAAACCTAGAAGACATGGATAAATTCCTAGATACATACCTGCTCCCAAAACTGAACCAGGAAGAAACTGAATCCCTGAACAGAACAATCATGAGTTTCAAAACTGAATCAATAATAAATAGCCTATCAACCAAGAAAATCCCAAGACCAGATGAATTCACAGCCAAATTCTACCAGATGTTTAAAGAAGAGCTGGTACCATTTCTGCTGAAACCTCCATAACTTATTCTATGAGGCCAGCATTATCCCGATACAAAAACCTGGTAGAGACACAACAACAACAAAATCTTCAGGCTAACAATATTGATGAATATCAATGCAAAAATTCTCAAGAAAAAATAAATAATAGCAAACTGAATCTAGCAGCACACCAAGCATGGCTGGTTCAATATAGGCAAATCAATAAATGTGATTAATCACATAAATAGAGCTAAAGGCAAAAACCACATGATTATCTCAATAGATATAGAAAAGACTTTTGATAAAATTCAACATCCATTCATATTAAAAACTCTCAGTAAATCAGGTATTGAAGGAACATACCTCAAAACAACAAAATCCATCTATGACAAACCCCCAACCAACATTACACTGAATGGGCAAAAACTGGAAGCATTCCCCTTGAAAACTTTCATAAGACAGGGAGACCACTCTTATCACTCCTTTTCAACTTAGTAATGGAAGTATTGGCTACAGCAATCAGAGAAAAGAAACTAATAGAGGCATCCAAATAGAAAAAGAGGAAGTCAAACTGTCTCTTTTTGCACACTACATGATTCCATATCTAGAAAACCCCATCGTATGAGCCCAAAACCTCCGTCAGCTGATAAACCACTTCAGCAAAGTTTCAGGATACAAAGTTAATGTAAAAAACCACTAGCATTCTTGTACATACAAAGCAGTCAAGCTGAGAAGCAAATCAGAAAGGCAATCTCATTATCAATTGCTACAAAAAGAATAAAATACTTAGGAATACAGCTACCAGAGAAGTGATAGATCTGTACAAGGAGAATTAAAATCACTCTTCAAAAAAATAAGATAACTGAAACTAATGGAAAAACATCCCAAGCTCATGGATAGTAAGAATCAATATCATCAAAATGGCCATATTGCCCAAAGCTTTGTTCAGATTCAATGCTATTTTTATCAAACTACCAATGACATTCTTCATAGAACTAGGAAAAGCTAGTTCCAAATATATCTGGAAACAATAAAGAGCCTGAATAACCAAGGCAATCTATAGGATCTAATTACATTAAAGAGCTTCTGCACAGCAAAAAAAAAAAAAAAAAAAAAAAAAACTATCAACAGATTTAACAGACAACCTACAAAATGGGAGCACATTTTTACCAACTATACATCTGAAAAAGGTATAAAATCCAGCATCTATGAGACACTTAAATTTACAAGCAAAAAGCAACCCCATTAAAAAGTGGGCAAAGAGCATGAACAGACATTTTTAAAAGAAGACATAGATGTGGCCAAGAAGAATACGAAAAAAAGCTCAACATCACTGATTATTAGAGAAATGCATATCAAATCTACAATGAGATAGTATCTCACACTAGTCAGAATACCTATTATTATAAAGTCAAACAATAAGAGATACAGGCAAGATTGTGCAGAAAAGGAAACTCTTATGCACTGTTGTTGGGAGTGTATATATTAGTTCAACCACTGTGGAAAGCAGTGTGGTGATACCTCAAAGAGCTAAAACCAGAACTACTATTCGACCTAGCAAACCCATTACTTGGTATATACCCAAAGGAATTTAAATCACTCTATCATAAAGGCACATACATGCATACGTTCAATGTAGCACTACTCACAATAGCAAAGACATGGAATCAACCTAAATGCCCATCAGTGGTAGACTGAATAAAGAAAATGTGATGCATGTACACCATGGAGTATACACAACCATAAAAAGAATGAGATTATGTCCTTTGCAGGACATAGATGGAGTTGGAGGTCATTATCCTTAGCAAACTAACACAGGAAGAGAAAACCAAATACTGAATGTTCCCACTTACAAGTGGGAGCTAAATGGTGAGAACACATGAACACATAGAGGAAAACAATAGATATGGGGGCCTACCTGAGGATGAAGGGTAGGAAGAGAGAGAAGATCAAGAAAAATGACTATTGGATAATAGGCTTAACATTTGGGTGATGAAATAATCTGTACAACAAACCTCTGTTACACAAATTTACCTATATGACAAACCTGCACATGTACCCCTGAACTTAAAATAAAAGTTAAAATAAGTAAATAATAAATAAAATAAAGCATAACCAAAACAATTGTTGATAAAACTACCATTACAGAAACATAATTGAGAACATTTATTGCAACTATTATATATCAGTATTTTACACTATTTTCCGACTGACTTATTTATCCTAAATAATAAACAGTTCATGAAGTTTGTAACAAAACTTCTGCCATGTTTTATATGAGTTATATATTATAATATCTAATTTAATTTAAATATATGAAAATATAATCTTGTCATATACAATGTTTTCACCATTCTGGGAACCTCTAATTTTGTTTATCTTTAAAAATGAGTATTGTCTTTCTCAAAGATGAAAGTAAAATAAAAGTAATTGTTAATTGAGTTTTAAAATTTGTATTCATAATTCAAATATTATGTAAAATTTGATAAATATTTCTAGAACAAGAAGTATTTCATAATGGTAAAAGTCCGAGTTATCAAGAATATATCATAATCTCAAATATATCAAATATATAACAGAATTTTTTCTAGTGTGCATAAGATAAAATCCATTAAAATATATTTTTTAAAACTTTAAGTATCTAGTATTATAGCTAGTGATCATAACCATCTCTCTCAGTAACTGATAGAACAAGCAGACAAAATATCAGTATGCATTTCAATAATTTGAAAAAATTGATCTACCTTTCTGACCTGTTTGACCTTTGTCATATACTTCATCCGACATGGCAAAAGGTATACAAAGTGCCTGTGAAATGTTCATCAAGAGTAGTTTCAAGATGGCCTACTAGATGCCATCAAGATGTGCTACTGTCATTTAGAGAGACCAAAATTTTGACTAAATCAACAAAATTTGAACAAATCTGAGAGAAAATGCCAAATGTGGATGGAGGAAAGCTGCAGGTGCCAATTCTGAAGAGGGAGGAGTCTGTGAACCCTGCCTGGGGTGCCTGGACACTAGGGCTCATTCCTGATCCTTATCAGCTCCTGGGGAAGAGATTGGGAAGAGATGAGGGAAGGGGCTGTGAGACTGCCCATTCTTGCTGCAGACCTCTGGTATCCTAGCTGCAGGGAACCCCACACTCCCCATCCCCAGACATTTGAACTGGGAGGGGGAATGTTGCCAGATATTAGATGGAGACAGGGCTTCATCAGTTACAGAGCTGGGAATCCTTGTCCATGGGATATCTTCGGCAGAGCCTGACCATGGGTGCCCATTCCTCAGGGCTCCCTGTCTCCCTTTGAGAGGATCCGGCCTCAGCTATTCACCAGACTAGCAGAAAGCAGGACCAGCTTCCCCATGGGACTGGAGCACATCTGTTTTTCAGGCCCACCTTTTTGCCAGCCCCTCCCAGGCTTCCTGCCTGGCCACCCTGCAGGAGTGTGTACAGTGTAGTCTCTGCTGCTCAGCCTGGATGCATTCTGGGAGCCTGGTACCCATCAGATCCCCCAGCACACAGAGAAATCAACCCCAAAGTGCTGGAGGAGGGAATCAAAAGCAGGTCCTGGTGCTCCAGGGATGTGGCAAATGGCTTGGGAGTGTTGAGCCTGGATCTTTGCCTGGCTCAAACTAGGAAAGCTGAGGAGGAGCCAACACTTACAGAAAACTGAGACAGGTGAGTTGTACAGTTTTACAAGCTTTTGTGGAACCTGGGTATGCCTCACTCCACAGGACTTGTCCAGTAAGAGTGGCCTATCTCCCTGCCAGATCTCTGCCTAAGGAAGCCTGATGGCCCAAAACATCTAATAATTACAAATATCCCACAGATACAGCACCAGTGATTGGAAGTCACTACCTCAAGACCCAGGAGCAGACCTGGTGAGGAGTCACTTCTCACTGAAAAGCACAGCTACAAATGTAAGGACAGGCAAAGGAGCCACCGCTGAGTAAGAACCTATCTACCACTCATTGCTCTCCAGGACTATCTATGGGCTCGTAGTCCAAACTACATCATCAAAAAACACTTTGCTAATTTTCTCCACTGCAGAAGAATTCAATAACAAACAAGATTCTGCACAGAGCTTTAGCCCTCTGAAAACTTACAGAAATGAAGCCAACTGATAATATTCAAATTAACCACAGTTAGAGAAGCACCAGCCCTCTCAGATAAAAAAAAAATGTATCAGTATAAGAACTTGGCAATTCAAAAAGCCAGAGTGTTCTCTTACCTCCAAATGAGCCCACTAGCTCCCCAGTAATGGTTCTCAACCAGTCTGAAATGACTGAAATGAAAGTCATGGAACTTAGAATCTGGAAGGCAAGGACGCTCATCAAGAGCCAGGAACAAGGTTAAATCCCATCCAAGGAAGCCAAGCCATTCAGTAAAATAATTCAAGAGCTGAAAGATAAAATAGCCATTTTAAGAAAGAACAAAACTGAATTTATTTTGCTGAAAAATTCGCTATGAAAATTTTTATAATATAATCAGAAGCATTCACAGTAGAATAGACCAAACTGTGGAGAGAATTGCAAAGCTTGAAGACAGGTTTTTCAAATGAACTCAATTAGACAAAAATAAAGAAAAAAGAATTTTAAAAAATGAAAACAATTCTACTAATATGGTATTACATAAAGAGATCAAACCTATAACTCATTGATATTGTAGAGAGAGACAAAAAGAGAGAGAAAAAGCAAGGTGGAGTATATATTTGAAGATATAATGCATGAAAATTTTTCTATTCTTGATAGAGACATTGACAAGCAAATTCAAGAAATACAGAGAACCTCAGCTAGATATCATACAAGATGACCATCCCCAAGGCACATAGTCATCAGATTCACCAAGGTCAATACAAAACAAAAAATCTTAAAGGCATCTAGAGAGAAGGTTCAGAAGATATTGGTGGCCTATTTCCATCATCCTTAAAGAAAAAGAATTTCAACGAAGAATTTCACACCCTGCCAAACTATGCTTTGTAAATGAAGAAGAAATAAAATTCTTCCCAGACATGCACGTGCTGAAGGAAGTTGTTTCAACTAGACCAGCCTAACAAGCAGTCCTTAAGGGACTGCTAAACATGGAATCAAAAGAACATCTGCTACCGCAACTACTCACTTAAAAACATAGTCCACAGACATTATGAAGCAACTATACAACCAAGTCTATGTAACAATCAGCTAACAAATGATGACAGGATCACAATCTCATATGTCAAGTCTAACCTGGAATATAAATGGGCTAAACACACCACTTAAAAACATAGCATGCCAAGCTGGATAAAAAGAAAAGACCCAACCATCTATTGTCTTCAAGAGACTCATCTTGTATGTAACAACACAAACAGAATCAAAGTAAAGCGTTGGAGAAAGATTTACTATACAAATGGAAAACAAAAAAGAACAGGCATCTTTATTCTTAAATCAGATAAAAAACTGATTCTCATATCAGTTTAAGCCTTTAACAATTAGAAGGACAAAGAAAGGCATTACATTATGACAAAAGGTACAATCCAAACTATTCTAAATATATACGCACCCCAAATTGGAGCACCCATTTTCATAATACAAGTTCTTTTTGACCCATGAAAATACTTAGACAGCTGTACCACAATAGTAGAAGACTTCAATACATGACTGACAGCGTTAGACACATCATTGAGGCAGAAAACAAACTCTGGAGTTAAACTTATCACTTGACCAATTGGATCTAATAGACATCTAAAGACAACTTCACTGGACAATCACAGAATATATATTTTTCTCATTTGCACCCAGAGCATATTCTAAGATCAACCACATGCTAGGTCATAAAATAAGTCTCGATAAACAAAAAAATCAAAATCATACCAAACACAGTCTCAGCTCACATTACAATACATATAGAAGTCAATGTCAAGGTTTCTCAAAACTATACAAATACATGAAAATTACACAACTTACTCCTGAATAACTCTTGAGTGAACATTGAAATTAAGGCAGAATTTTTTTTAAAAACTGAAATTAATGAAAATAGGGAGACAGCTTACCAATATCTCTGAGATACAGCTGAAGCAATGTTAAGAGGAAAGCTTATAGCACTAAACACCTTCATCAATAAATTATGAATATCTCAAATTAACAATCTAATTTTGCACCTAAAGGAACTAGAAAAAAAAAGAACAAACCAATTCCAAAGCTAGCAGAAGAAAATAAATACCTACAATTACAGAAAAACTAAATATATTTGAGACACGAATATCCTTACAAAAGATGAATGAAACCAATTATTTGTTCTTCAAAATAATTTTAAAAAATGATAGATCCCTAGATAAACAAAGAAAAAGAAAGAGAAAATCCAAATAACACAATCAGAAATTACAAAGGCAATATAGCAACTGATCTTACAGAAAGAATCTACTACCAAAAAAAAGCCCTGGAGCAGCTGGATTCACAGCCAAATTCTGCTAAATGTACAAAGAAGAACTGGTACCAATCCCACTGAAACTATTCCAAAAAAAATGAGGAGAGTCTTCTCCCTAACTCACTATATCTAGCCAGCATCTGCCTGATACAAAAATATGGCAAAGACACAATGAAAAAAAAATTCTGGCCAATATCCTTGATGAATATAGGTGCAAAAATCCTCAACAAAATATTAACAACAAAATAGAGCTGCACATCAAAAAGTTAATAAACCACAATCAAGTAAGCTGGTTCAACATGTGCAAATCAGCCAGTGTGATTCACCACATAACCAAAATTAGAAGCAAAAACCACATGATCATCTGAATAGATGCAGAAAAAGCTTTCAATAAAATCCAACATCACTTCATTTAAAAAAATCTGTCAACAGACTAGGAATTGAAGGAACAGATTTAAAAGAGTAAGAGCCATCTACGACAAACCTTCAGCCCACATGATACTGAATGGGCAAAAGCTCAAACCATTCCCCTTGAGAACTGGAAGAAGAGAATGACATAGTACTGGAAGTCCTAGCCAGATCAATCATGCAAGAGAGAGAAATAAAAGGCATTCAAATAGGAAAATAAGAAATCAATCTCTCCTTATGGATCATATAATTCTATACCTAGAAAATCCTAAAGGCTCTGCCAAAAAGCTACCAGAGCTGATAAATGACTTTAGCAAAGTTTCAGGATACAAAATCAATGTGCAAAAATCAATAACATGTCTATACACCAACAATGTCCAGGCTAACAGTAAAATCAAGAACACCATCCTACTTACAATAGCCACAAAGAAAATGAATTATCTAGAAATACAGCTAACTAAGGAGGTGAAAGATCTCTACAAGAAGAGCTGCTGACAGAAATCAGAGATGTCACAAACAAATGGAGAAACACTCCATGCTCATGGATTGAAAGAATCAATATAATGCAAATAGCCATACTGCCAAAAGCAATGTACAGATTCAACGCTATTCTTATTAAACTACCAATATTACTCCCCACAGAATTAGAAAAAACTATTTTAAAATTCAATGGAACCAAAAAAGAACTTGAATGGCCAAAGCAATCTTATGTACATTAAATCTAGAGGCATCAATCACACTACCCAACTTCAAACTATACTATGAAGCTTCAGCAATCAAAACAGCATGGTGCTGGTATAAAATGAGACACATATAGCAAGGGAAGAAAATAGAAAACTCAGAAATAAAGCTGCATAGGCCAGGTGTGGTGGTTCATGAGTGTAATCCCAACACTTTGGGACGCCAAGGCTGGAGGATCACTAGAAGTCAGGAGTTCAAGACCAGCCTGGCCAACATGGTGACACCTCCTCTCTACTAAAAATCAAAAACATTAGTTGGGCATGGTGGCGCTCGCCTGTAATCCCAGCTACTCAGGAGGCTGAGGCACGAGAATTGCTTAAACCTGGGAAGTGGAGGTTGCAGTGAGCTGAGATCGCACCACTGCTCTCCAGCCTGGGTGACAGAACAAGACTCTGTCTCAAAAAAATAAATAAATAAATAAATAATAAAGCTGCACACTTACAACCACCTAATCTTTTACAAGGCTGACAAAAACAAGCAATAAATTTATTCAATAAGTAGTGCTGGGATACTAGCTAGTCATATGTAGAAGAATGAAGCTGGGTCCCTGCCTTTCTCCACATAAAATAATTAACTAGAAATGAATCAAAGATTTAAATGGAAGGCCTCAAATTATAAAAATTCTAGAAGATAACCTAGAAGATACCTTTCTTGACATCCACCTTGGCAAATAATTTGTGACTAAGTCTCCAAAAGCAATTGTAACAAAAACCAAAATAGATGAGTGGGACCTATATAGCATAGTCATTACAAGCTAATTACCTGATTATTGGTTTCCTGAGTAATCACAAACTTCCCAACATGTCCAAATGCATTGAATATTCATTCATTTTGAAGGAAGGTTACTGTTCTGCTTAAATTAACTAAGAAATTTAGTTCTGTTTTCTTTTCTTTTCTTTTTTTCTTTTTTATTTTTTTGAGAAGGAGTCTTGCTCTGTCGCCCAGGCTGGAGTGCAGTGGCGCTATCTCGGCTCACCGCAAGCTCTGCCTCCCAGGTTCACGCCATTCTCCTGCCTCAGCCTCCTGAGTAGCTGGGACTACAGGTGCCCGCCACCACGCCCGGCTAATTTTTTTGTATTTTTTAGTAGAGACGGGGTTTCACTGTGTTGGCCAGGATGGTCTTGATCTCCTGACCTAGTGATCCACCCGCCTCGGCCCCCAAAGTGCTGGGATTACAGGCATGAGCCACCGAGCCTGGCCAAAACTTAGTTTTGATTTGGCTATAATCTATAAATTCAATACATAAATGATAAATTCAGTAAATAATAACTATTATAAATAAATTTATAATTTTATTCACAAATCTATAAATATAATCCAATAATGAATTCAATATATGAACAATAGCACATAAATCCTACATAAACAAATCTCTAAAAATTCAATAAATAAACAATATTAATATTGTTTTTCTGAAGTCTATTTCAAATTCCTCAGGACACTAATGGCAAACACAATACACTGAAGGAAATGCATACTTACGTTAGCAAAAATGATCTATCTTTTGGAACTACATCTGGCTTAGGATTTCACTCTTCCTATCTTAGCACTTTCCAAGGATGCACAGGATCAAGCATACAAATGGAGCTGTGTATCTACTGGAAGTTACATTTTTCCCTGAAACTTAATCTATCTGAAGTCTGCATGCCTTTTTGCCTGCAGCAGTTCAATTCTGACAATCTAGCCATGAGTTAGAGTGAACAATTAGACTGAAGACTTTATTACACAATTTCTTTACTGTTAATCATTTTCTGTGTTATTTTTGCTACAACACACACACACAGGATCATTTATGATACACATGATTAGCTTGGGTTTTGTAAAAGGGAAGGTATCCACTTCTAATGTTACACAACTTTCTAGTTCATCAGTTATCAAACTATGATCCAGGGTCTAAATCAAATCCTTGGCCTGTTTTTGTTTGGCCTGAGAGCTAATTTTTTTTTTCACTTTTAAAGGATTGTTAAAAACATTCTAAAGAGAAAAATGAAAAGAGAAGAGGAAAAATAAAAATATACAAAAGAGACTACTATATTGCCTGCAAAACCCAAAATATTGACTATATGGTTGTTTACTTAAAAAGTTTGCTGACTCTTTTGCTAATTTATTATTTAATGTCATATAGTTTTTATTTATATTTAGAGGGTTTTAGCTATTTTTGCATACAAAAACAATTATACCAATTATACAAAATTGTTAGAATTCCTACTAGAGTCATACACAAATTTTTGGAATCCCGATTATAATCATAGCTTATTACTAACAGACATTCAGGCATTCATAGGTACTACAGATACTCATATACTCATATATCAAATTCAAGCTAGGCTGCTGGGAAATATGTGTTTATGTCACCTGGCAATGGAAAGAAAGTCCAGGCAATGTGGAAAAACCATCCACATCCCCAAGTAAAAAAAAAAAAAAAATATATATATATATATATATATACACACACACATATATATATACACATATATATACACATATATGCACATATATACACATATATACACATATATATGCACATATATACACACATATATATACACATATATATACATATATATATAATTGTGCATAATATTGTTTTACTTAATGTTTTTCCTCCCACTCGTCCCACATTGTCCATCCCCCTTCACCTCAGCAAAATAAGCAATTATCTGCTGAATCTTGAGAATGAGATCACTGTTATTTATATTTCTTTGCTTAAGGTGAGAAATGGAGTGCTACTTCTTTAACTGTCAGAAGCATGCATACCTAGCATACCTTTAATTTAGTGTTGGGATACCACATTAGCACCTTCCTTGTTGTTTTGTACCCTTCCTGAAACTTCTTTAGCACTGAAATAATATCTTCTGGCAGGCGTTTCTTACGCTGACGTTTCTCATTGCCAGATGGGGAAAAGCCCTTGCTCACTTCATTGCCATCAGGGCTCAGTGGGTCTGCAGGATCCCCTCAGCCTGGAGCAAAATATTGTCCCTAGGTGGGGAGAGTAGGATCACCCTGCCATACCACCCAGGGGTGTGCAAGTCCGAATAGAGCTGGGTTTTGGACTGGTCCAGGGGGAAAAGGCTGTTGGCCAGGCTGTGCTGGATCTTGGCCAGGTTGTGGCTGGAGCGACCAGGCGCTCCCAGTCACCTTCGGACTGGAAGCGGTTTAGTAGGCTGAGGCCGAAGGTGGTGGTCAGGATTGCGGGCACGGTGAGGAAAAGGACCGGGTGCCGGCTCACACACAAGCCCAGCCTGTGGCCGATGGACTGGAGCCCTCTGCGAAGCACCTGCCGCAGCATCCTCCACCAGGTCTAGAACAGTGACAGGTGCAACACAGGACCCCTCCACCCCTCACAGTCACCCATCCCCGTCAGGATAGACAAACATACTATTGACATCGCCCCCACTCTAGAGGTCTGTACCGAACACTCTGCGTTCACCTTCCTTCAGTTTGCGCAATTGCTTTGCTTTGGCGCTTCCTAGGCGCACCTACCTGCACTCTTTCCAGTTTCTCAATACTGCAACAGGTGCAATGAAACAGCAAATACGAAAAGCAGGAGGCTTCATTATCCCGGATTCCTTCACTCTCTCTGCCAGAATTCGTGTTTCTTTGCTCTAACCCTTCACCTCAGTGCCCTGGCACCCCCACCCACCGCGCCTGTTTTCCCAGCCTCCTTGGTGGAAGAAGTGGCCCCCGCGTACTGGTCGGACTAATGTGAATTCCCTCTCCAGCATGATAGATTGCAGTTCCAAACTAGAACTCTAAAAATGAGACTGTAGAAATGTAAATGTGTCCCTTTAGAGGGGTCTTAGTGGGGATGGAGGGGTGAGAAGGCAGAACTATTTGCTTTTAAGAGCATTTATTTATCTTCTTTAAGATTAGGAGATATACCTAGTGTAAATGACGAGTTAATGGGTGCAGCACACCATCATGGCACATGTATACATATGTAACAAACCTGCACCTTGTGCACATGTACCCTAGAACTTAAAGTATAATAATAATAAAAAAATTTTTTCTCCTCACTCACTCCCTTGGCAAGATAATGTAATAGGAAGTGAGGTGAAAATGCTGATGGCCCAATACATTTGGGGCTATTTAGAGCCAGAAGAGCTGGAGAAAGGGGGAAATGAGAAGGCAACTTTGTATATATTCCTGTAACCCTCTGCTCTCTAATTTTGTTTCAACAATTTGAGGACCAGATGCAGAGAAGTACACGCTGTATTTCTAACGATTAATTGATCACGGACTCTCCGCAATATACCCCTCAAAATCTGCAGTCCTGGGCTCTCTATGGGGCTCCTACGTTCTTCCCAAAGGAGAGAGCTGCCAGCACCAACACCCTTGACTGTTTTCTTCTATGTGTCTGCCTTCAGTGAAAGTTCAAATGCATATCCTCCACGTGCTACTCCTTTGTAGCCTGCAGTTGTCAAAGTTGAAAGTCAGCGCACCAGCTTACCTCCATGGGTGAAGTGAAAGTCGTCTAGGCATGGCATAATGTATTTTAGTAAGAAATGTTTTGTTGCAATAAATGGATTATTTGGATGATGCCAAACTGAAGGTGGGAGGGACAGTTTAGCGGCTACTAAATTCCTTTGGGAAAGGGTGGTAGCTTAAAGAAGTAGAGAGGAAAGAGAATTGAAAGAATGTGGGAGCTATATAGGAGCAAGATGAACAGGACTTTGTGACTGATGAAATGTAAATGTGTACACTAAAAGCCAAGCATGAGATTCTTAAGTGTTCAGCTTGCATACATGAGACTAGAAGAGCATTAGTAATATTCCCCGCCAGGCATGGTGGCTCACGTCTGTAATCCCAGCACTTTGGGAGGCCGAGGCGGGTGGAACATGAGGTCAGGAGATCGAGACCATCCTGGCTAACATGATGAAACCCCATCTCTACCAAAAATACAAAAAAATTAGCCAGGCATGGTGGCACCCGCCTGTAGTCCCTGCTACATGGGAGGCTGAGGCAGGAGAATGGCTTGAACACGGGAGGCAGAGGTTGCAGTGAGCCAAGATCATGCCACTGCACTCCAGCCTGGGTGACAGAGCGACACTCAAATAAATAAATAAATAAATAAGTAAATAAAATTCCAGCCCTGATTTCAGAGATAGCAGTAATGGAAGGATATGAGAGAGGTGGACGCTGCAAGAAAACACACTTAGGTGGAAACACTTACTCTGATGTTCATGAGTTGTGTCACACAGGCTTAACGATGGAGTTAATTTAATTCTCAGTTTTTCCAGCTGTAAAATGCACATAATAACAATACTTACGTTACAGGGCAGTTGTGAGGGATACAATGAGATAATGTATTTAAAGAAGTTATTACAGGAAATGGCAGATAGTGAATACTCAGATATTTTAATTATTTTTATTTCTTTATTATTTTATTTTATTTTATTTTATTTTATTTATTTTATTTTATTTTATTTTTTATTTTATTTTATTTTATTTTATTTTAGAGATGGAGTCTCGCTCTGTAGCCCAGGCTGGAGTGCAGTGGTGCGATCTTGGCTCACTGCAAGCTTCGCCTCCTGGGTTCATGCCTTTCTCCTGCCTCAGCCTCCCCAGTAGCTGGGACTACGGGTGCCTGCCACCACG
The DNA here is from genome assembly GCF_000001405.40 of Homo sapiens. Taxonomy (NCBI): domain Eukaryota; kingdom Metazoa; phylum Chordata; class Mammalia; order Primates; family Hominidae; genus Homo; species Homo sapiens. The sequence continues at coordinate 48,704,173 of NC_000006.12, forward strand.
TCCGGCTAATTTCTTTTTTGTATTTTTAGTAGAGACAGGGTTTCACTGTGTTAGCCAGGATGTTCTCGATCTCCTGACCTCGTGATCCACCCGCCTGCCTCGGCCTCCCAAAGTGCTGGGATTACAGGCATGAGCCACCGCACCCAGGCAGATATTTTAATTATTTAATATTTTGTTATTGCCTTTTATATACCTAACAGCTACAATGGGAAAAAAGCATACAGTCGGCTCTCCATGTCCACTGTTCTACATCTATGGTTTCAAACAAATCTTAGATCAAAAATATTCAGAAAATTGAAAACAAATACAATAGATGATAATACAAATTTAAACAGCAATACAAGGCGAGATGCAGTGGCTCATGCCTGTAATCCCAGCACTTTGGGAGGCCAAAGAGGGCAGATCACTTGAGGACAGGAGTTTGAGACCAGCCTGACCAACATGATGAAACCCTGTCTCTACTAAAACTACAAAAATTAGCTGGGCATAGTGGTGGGTGCCTGTAATCCCAACTTCTCAGGAGGCTGAGGCAGGAGAATCACTTGAGCATGGGAAGCAGAGGTTGCAGTGAACCGAGATCTCTCCACTGCCCTCCTACCTGGGTGACAAAGCAAGACTCCATAGAAAGAAAGAAAGAAAGAGAGAAGGAGAGAAAGAAAGAAAGAAAGAAAGAAAGAAAGAAAGAAAGAAAGAAAGAAGAGGAAGGAAAGAAGGAAGGAAGGAAGGGAAAAGAAAGAGAGAGAGAGAAAGAAAGAACGAATGAGAGAAAGAAAGAAAGAGAGGAAGGAAGGAAGCAAGGAAGGAAGGAAGGGAAAAGAAAGAGAGAGAGAAAGAAAGAATGAATGAGAGAGAGAGAAAGAAAGAAAGAGAAAGAAAGAAAGTAAGAAAGAAAGAAAGAGGAAGGAAGGAAGGAGGGAAAAGAAAGAGAGAGAGAAAGAAAGAAAGAGAGAGAAGGAAAGAAAGAGAAAGAAAGAGAAAGAAAGAAAAGAAACAGCAGAAGGGAGGGAGGGAGGGAAAAGAGAAAGAAATAAAGAAAGAAAGAAAGGAAGGAAGGAAGGAGGGAAAAGAAAGAGAGAAAGAAAGAAAAAGAAAGAAAGAGAGAAAGAAAAAGAAAGGAAGAAAAAGAAAGAAAGAGAGAGAAAGAGAGAAAGAGAAAGAAAGGAAGGAAGGAAGGAAAGAAGGGAGGGAGGGGGGGAAAAGAAAAAGAGAAAGAACGAAAGAAAGAAAGAAAGAAAGAAAAACAGGAAGGAAGGAAGGAGGGAAAAGAAAGAGAGAGAGAAAAAGAAAAAGAAAGAAGAGAGAGAAAGAAAGAGAAAGAAAGAAATAAAAAGAAAGAAAGAGAGAGGAAGGAAGGAAGGAAAGAAGGGAGGGAGGGAAAAGAAAAAGAGAAAGAATGCAAGAATGAAAGAAAGAAAGACAGGAAGGAAGGAAGGAGGGAAAAGAAAGAGAGAAAGAAAAACAAAGAAAAGAGAGAGAGAAAGAAAGAGAGAAGAGGAAGGAAGGAAGGAAAGAAGGGAGGGAGGGAGGGAAAAGAAAAAGAAAGAACGAAAGAAAGAATGAAAGAAAGAAGAAAGAAAGAAGGAGAAAGAAAGACAACTGTTTATATAGCATTATATTGTATTTGGAATTATAAGTAATCTAGGATGATATAAAGTATAGAGGATAGAGGAACATGTGTGTAGGTTACATGCATTTTTATATAAGGAACTTGAGCATTCCAGGATTTTGTTATCAGCAGGGGTTCTGGAACTAATTTTCTAAGGATACAAAGAGATGACTATATATGTGTGTGTGTATTTATTTGTGTGTGTGTACATGTATTAAGAAGTGCATGTACACGTATGTGTCATATTTGATACTTAACAAATATTTGATCGAATATTTAATAAATAATACATGAAATATTAAGACAAAAATTGTATAATAGTTATATATAGACATACACAAAAATATTGAGTATGTACTATTAAAAACTTCAGGGTTTGTTTGGAGGTTTTCCTTTCCGGGCAAAGTTTTGAGGACATCAGGTAGGGACTTAAGCTTACATTGGCTAAATGTTTAGTATCTACCAGCACTGTTCCTACTTCATATGCATTACCTCACTTGATCCTTTTCAAAACTCCTATCTTGTGGATATTATTATTCAAATTTTATAGATTAAAAATATTAGATAGGAAGAGTTCAGTTCATTTGTTTATGGGCCTTTAGCCATGTGGGATTCATAACTAATCTGTCTAAGGCCCAAACCAGTGTTCTTTTCACTGTATAAGGATATGTCAATCAAAATAATATTGCTATTATTTTGCAATATTTTGCAAAATAATATTGCTATTATTTTGCAATATTTTGCAAAATAATATTGCAAAATAATATTGCTATCCACCTCTCTCATATCCCTCCAAATAATGTGATAGCATATTATTTGCATATATTTGTATAAAATATTTATTCTCTCAGATACTCTTACAATATTTGTCCATCTATCTAGAATATTTCCAGGACTCTGCCAGTTTATCCCTACTTTGTCACAATTGTCATATTTGTGGTTGCCAATCTGCAATGGGTGCTTTTTCAATCATGACTGAACTCTTCAGAAAGTAAGCATGTCAGAATCACTGTATCAATAGGATTGGCCATGAAAACAGAGAAAAATAATAATAATAGCCCATATATGTTTCTTACAATTGCCAAGTGTTTTTCTCAGCACATTACATTTATTAGTGAATGTAGGTCCTTTCCGATTCTATTCAATTTAAACTGCCCTCCAGCGTTTGTACAAAGGAAACAATTCCATTAATTATCAAAAGGCAATTTCACTTTCAACTTTGTAATTACTTTACTCAAATTTAGAATAAATTAATGTTTTAGAAAATAGTTTCTTTCAAATCATTTTTTAAATTAAGTTTCTTTTTAATAGATTTTCTTGATTCCTATCAAAGTACAATCAAATAAGTGCATAAAGGATATAATGAAAAACTATTGCTTTTCCTTATCCATTCTCAACAGCCATCCTTGCTCCCAAGTGTAAACTTTCTAAATTTTGTGGACACTTCTTTGATTAGTTACTGCCATATTGCAAGTAATATTTTTTATATTCGAAACTATACTCACAAATTTAGACCAAATAACTTCAGGACTTTATGCAGTTGATATTTTTCTAAAACATTTTTAAAAATAATTAAAAGCTTAACATCTCTTTCCTGTTGAAAACTTGAGGAAAATGCAGTTAAACCCTATTACGAAACTAATGATTACCATTTACTGGAACTTCATATGTCTGACACTAGAAATTATCACTTTAAATGTATTTTTTCAATTTAGTGCATACATTCAACATGTCAGGCTAGAAACAAAAAGGAAATCCAGGCTGTGTAATATTAGACTAATTATTCCCCTGCTAAGTGGTGGAATCAATATTGGAAAACATTTCCTTCTGATTCCAAGTTCTAGGTGCTAAACCTCTGAATTCAACAGTCTATGAATAAAAGCAAAAAAAGGAAAATAAATATGAATTATTAGCCAACCAACCAAAGGAAAGATTTTAACACATTATTATATATCCCTCCATGATTTTTTTTTCTGTGCAGGGGTTAAGAAGGGAAGGAGTGGGAGAAAGAGATAAATAAGTGTAGCACCGGATACCTTTAGACCAGTGAAACTATTTTCTGTGATAACATAATGACAACATTACATTATGATTTGGCAAAACACATAGAACTACAAGACACAGAATAAACTCTAATGTAAATTACTAACTTTAGTTAATAATAATGTATGAATAGTTTCATCATTTATAGTATTACACGCACCAATGCAAGATGTTAATAATAAGATAAATGGGTTTGGGGGAAGCACGTGGAAGAGGGAGTATGGGAATTCACTGTACTTTCTGTTCAATTTTCTGTAAACCCAAACTGCTAAAAAAACAAAGTCTATTGCTTTTTAAAGAATGATAAATTGTATTATGTTGTTAATGATTATGATAGCTAACATGTAACAAGTTTCTAAATTGTGAGCTAGGAAATATGGATGCAGGTATATTATTACTTTCATTTTTAGATTATTATGCTGAAGTGCAGAGTATGCAGTGTTTACCTGCAACCATGAAACTAGTAATTGGAAAGACCTAGACTTAAACCTAATTTGTCTTTCTAAAATTTTGTATCTTTTTAATACTACCTCACTTGTATGATACTATTTCTTTTTTTACTAAATGTCTAAAATCAATGTTCCTATCTTTCTTATTTTACTCTATATTAGACTAAGAAATACCTAAAAAGAAACCTACATTTTATCTTGTACTCCACATCTGAGCATTATTAATCAAAATAAAACACTCAGACTAAAATCTAGTTTTAACACTAGTTTATCTCCTTAAATTCCTGGTTTCATTTTGCTTTTGTTGTTTGTAGATTTCTTACTGAAAAGAATTATGAGCAGAAAATATATATATGACACACATATAGACATATATACACACATATATTAGCTATATATGCACTGTATCTCCAGTGCTTGCACTGTAAGGGTCTTTTACAATATCTTCTTTAATATCCTTCCAGAAACAAAAGTCCATCATAAATTTTGTATTAATTTTTTCAAAAACCTGGATATACAATAGACCTTAAATTTCTTACTTAGAAATCCTCTTTCTATTCTATGACCTCAATTAAGCAAGTAAACCTACCCTAAATATGTAAAATAAGAGGAGGAATTTTATTAATTTATCCACAATTGTTACTTTAATATTTGAAATTAATATTTCCATTCTTCTAGTTCAACAGAATTTGGCATATTTTTTATTTCAAATAATTTCAAACTTACTAATATGTAGTGAAAATAGTATTAAAAAATTGGAACATGTTTTTTACCCAGATTCCCAAATATCAACCTCTTACTACACTTGGCTTGTGTTATTCTGAGTGTGAATATCAGCATATACATATATACATGTATGGATAGAAACATAAATAGGTAAATGTAAATGTAAATATATATTTGAAATGTTTATAAGTAAGATTTAGACAAAATATCTCTTTACCTCCAAGTATTTCACTGTATGTATTTAATAAACAAGAGCATTCTTCTCCATAAACAGATTTCAGTTACAAAAATCAGAAAATTAACATTAATGCAGTACTAGTATGTAATCTACAGACTTTATTCAAGTTATATGAATTTTCCCACTAAGGGCTTTAGTCTGATTTGGGATTCAATTTGTTATTACATAATGTATTTCATTGTCACATCTCTTCAATTTCCTTTAATCTGGAACACTTCCTCATCTTTGTTTTTGCTCCATAACTTAGAAAACTTTAAGATTAAAGAGGAGAATTTTGCAGAAAGTTCCTCAATCTGGATATGCTCATAATAAAACATTGGGAGATAGCAGAATTGCATTGCTGTTTCAACATTCAAAACGATATTCTGAGTAGGCATTTTAAGCCATGTAATGTGAAGAGAGAAGCTTTTTGGTTACCATCACCCCAAAGTGTCTCATGTCACTTCCCTTCAAACTAACCTCCAACCCCCAGGAGCAACAACTTCGGATCTTTTGCCACAACAGAAAAGTTTTCTCTATAATAGAATTTCTCTTTGGAGAAAGGCTTTTTTTTTTCTTCTTCTTCTACGCTTTCTGTAAAGTGGAAAAATTAGAAAGTATTCACATGTTGTATTCTCAATTTCTGGTTTTTGATGTAATAAATGACTACACTTTCTACCCACCATAATCTCCTGCTAGGTTTGTGATGTTCTTGTTATGTTTTTCCTCTTTTAGGTCAGTACTGGTTATAGGTAGATCCTAATATGCCACTGATAGCAGCTATGCCCAGGTAAATCTGACTTTTCTGATATGCCTCATTAAATAAAAATAGTTTCTGAAACTAGCATAAAAACTTTCATCTTTGAATCTTAAATTATTTTACAAACATTAATTCTTTCAGAACTTATACAAGATGTGTATTATTGAGTCGCAGATTTATGGAGTCTTAGAGATGGATGGGACTTCAGAAGACATCTGGTTTAACTTCTTGGTTTCAAAGATAAAAAAACTGAGGATCAGTGAAGGAAAATGATTTGCTTAAACAGATCTTTTTACAATTTTTGCTTCAGAATAATAAAGAAAATATGGCAACCCATAGAAAACATTTCCAATGCATATATAAATTCACTTTGTATGCCACTTTCTAATTTGGAGGGTAAATAGACATGTATTTCAAGGTAGGGCCAGAGAATTTGGGGGCTGAGGCATAGTAGGGGCAAGTTGGTTTATACAATAATGGGTCAGTGATTGGTGCTTTGTAGAGTGGTTCAAATTTAGAAATCTATTATATATTTAAAAATAGCTAAAAGTGTGAATTTTGAATATTTTCACCACAAAAAAATGATAAATGTTTGAAGCAGTAGATATGCTAATCATCCTGATTTAATCATTTTACACAATGTATATGTGTACTAAAACATCACACTGTGTCCTGTAAATATGTACAATTATTATGTGTCTATTAAAACAAAAGAAAACTTAAAAAGAGTTGATATATTAGCATAAATTAATGATTAAATTTACTTTCTTATATTGCTTGATGATAAAGATAATTTGCTGAAACATCTGTCTTTAACAAATCTCTCTCCTCTCATCTCATTCTCAGATTGTTATCCCAACATCTCTCCTTTCTTTCTCAACTGCCTCCTGTCACAAACACATATAAATCACCCAACAGAAAACATTCATGAAAGAAGAAATTTTAAAAAGATATGGAAGAATATAAAAAATAACTATTAAAAACTGTTGTGAAAGTAGTTAAAACTTGATGAAAATTTTGCATTTCCTGAGATTAAGATAACAAAAATATTACTGAAAAGATAATCTGTACTGAGCTTTCATCTCAAAATTAAGTAATGCTCGGGTCCTGTAATCAAGGCACTGATGATCTACCAGGAAAAATGGTCCTACTAAAAAGCAGAGTGCGGTGAGTACCAGAACCATGGGGCATAGTGGGTAGCCGTGGAAGGGTGATTAAAACTGGATATGTTTGGAAACATTTTAGAGACAGGTTTGAAGTGGGCCCATGAAGGTAGGCAGTAATGTTGGTGACATTGAACTTTGGCCATCTACCTCTCTTTCATTCTCCCAAATATGTAAATAAATAGAGGGAAAAGCCAAAGAAAAATAACAGGCTGATGAGAAAATCAAATGTCTAATTTAGAAACATAATGAAGAAACTAAGTATGTGTAAACTATTCAGAAAGTACATAATTACATTTTTACATTGTATAGAAATTGAGATTTGGGTGATGATAAAAGAGTGAATAGGCTGGGCGCAGTGTCTCATGCCTGTAATCTCAGCATTTTGGGAGGCCAGGCTGGTGGATCACTTAAGCTCAGGAGTTTGAGACCAGCCTGGACAACATAGCAAAAAAACTGTCTCTACAAAAAATACAAGAAATTAGTCAGGCATGGTGGTGTGTGCCTGTAGTCCCAGCTACTTGGGAGGCTGAAGTGGGAGAATCTCCTGAGCCAGGGAAGTCGAGGCTGCAGGGAGCCATGATAGCACCACTGCACTCTAGGAATAGATTACAGATATGATGAATAAACACTAAGATGATTGAGGAGGGAAGCAGTGGATTGTCTAAAAGTCACAGCTGTAAGTCTCTAAAATCAAATAAGATTGAACAGAACATCACAAGAGTTACTGTAAACATCAAAATACCATTTGACTCAGCAATCCCATTACTGGGTATATACCCAAAGGTTTATAAATCATGCTGCTGTAAAGACACATGCACATGTATGTTTATTGCGGCACTATTCACAATAGCAAAGACTTGGAACCAACCTAAATGTCCAACAATGATAGACTGGATTAAGAAAATGTGGTACATATACACCATGGAATACTATGCAGCCATAAAAATGATGAGTTCATGTCCTTTGTAGGGACGTGGATGAAACTGGAAACTATCATTCTCAGCAAACTATCGCAAGGACAAAAAACCAAACGCCGCATGTTCTCACTCATAGGTGGGAATTGAACAATGAGAACACGTGGACACAGGAAGGGGAACATCACACACTGGGGCCTGTTGTGGGGTGGGGGATGGGGGAGGGATAGCATTAGGAGATATACCTAATGTTAAATGATGAGTTAATGGGTGCAGCACACCAACATGGCACATGTATACATATGTAACTAATATGCATGTTGTGCACATGTACCCTAAAACTTAAAGTATAATAAAAAAAAAATAATAAAATACATTTTCTTCTCTAAATTTTTCCTATATTCCTTTTGCGTGTCTCTTTTCCCCACAATAATTAAACTAGGAAAGACTACATAAATGGTGAATAGTGATTGATGAACTAGGGATATGAAAGATTACAATAATACCACAACTTATAAACATGAAGAAGAAAGAGTAATAGTTTTAAATAACTGAGAGGTAGAATATCTTCCTCTGAAAATCATAGCATGTAAAAGCTGGACCTGCTTTACTTAGCCCCATGGAAGTTGAGTGACTTGCCCAAAGTCACAAGGGAAAATAGTCCATCTCTCAATTATCTTTTCAGCACAAAAACTCTGATGTGCTACAGACCCATATATCCAGCCATCCTAGTGGCCTTCCTAAGTGGAAGACAAATAACCTCCTCAAATATAACATGCTTCAGCCTAATTCATTACCTTTTCAACCTCAACCTGCTCCTTTTGTAGCTTTCAACCTTGATGAAGAATACTATTCTTTGTAGTTCATAAGAGAAAAGACTGTCAGTTATACTAGGTCTTGTCCTCTCATACATGCTGTTAATTAAGCTAGCCTGAATCTTAGAGGCCAGAGAAATGACAGAATTTAAGGCTCCTTATTCTATAAGAGAAGCATCTGGACACACATATCTACTTCAGTTGCTAGCTGGGAGTGTGATATCTAAACTAAAGGTTTAGCTATAAAATTACATTTTATGGATGCTACATTTTTCACTTATATTGTTTTATATCATATTATTAGATAATTTAGTATGGAAAATGGAGTAAAATTTGCTAACAAATTATAATTCATAGAATTCAACTGGTGGAGTTTTTGTCTAGAAAATCCCAAAAAATCACACCATAAATTCAATTTTTTTAAATACACAGAAACTACAATATGGCTTTTTCTTAAATAATATTAAAATGCAACCAGCACAATATTTTTAATAAAGTCATACTTAAACATTAAAAAATGTTCTTTTCTTGATCACAAATGTACAAAGGACTGAAAACTTATGTTTTTATCAGATAAGATGGTAGAATTTACATTATTGAGTATTAATAATTGACAAATAATGAACCAAAATAAAATGTGGTAGATATCCACATTTGACAGATGCAGAAAAAGAGGCTCATAGAGTTCAAGTCAGAATACTGGTAAATAATGAGGTTGAGAAATGAACTCCATTTATATAACACTAGATTTTATACTTTTTCTTCTGTATTTAATAATTCACCAATGAAAAAGCCATTAATAAGGTATAATTATTCTGATGCATTTATAGACTGTGTGGATTCTTGAATCACTCAATTTTACAAGCATTTATTGACTCCCTTCAATGGACTAGTTGCTATTTAGAATTACAAACATAATTAATTCAGTTTCTGCCCTGTAGTTGCTCACACTAGCAGCATAACGGACCCATGACAAGGATCTATTGTAAGAGCGAAGAGAGATTCAAAGTGTGGTGTCAGTTAAAGAAAGAAAGGGATTATCAAAATTTAATTAAGTATTGATTAATTAATCAGAGTTGACTAAAATATGGAATAGCTTAAATATCTGTAAATCATTAGACAGGATTAGTCATTCTGAGCAAACCCTATGGTAGGAAGGAGAGGTGAAGATGTCTCAGTATACATTTCTGAGAACGGAGAAATAAAGAGAAGAAAACAGATTACCTTAAGTACCAGGTTAGTAGCTGAGATTTCAAACAGCATCTATCTTAGGAAGATAGCCAAGCACACAGGATTTCTCTTATTTGGATAGCCTAATTACACTCAGTAAGGTTAGCAGTATGTAATATTTCCTCCAGTCAATGCTTATTATTACTTAAAATAATAACCATCTGTAGAAAGGAAAATACAAAAATTCAGACAGTTAAAAAGTGTTTAGCCTAAGTGTTTTAGCCTCAAAGAAGGTGCTAAAATAAGTACAGGCTACATAGATAGAGAAATCACTCAACTGTGAAATTGCTTCCTTTATGCAATATATAGTAGCCTTTAGAACTGTAAATTGCCACCTAGTACTGCCTGAATGATAAATGATCTTAGCAACAACTAGTCATTCTGTTCTTCGCTAACTTTGGTTCTATCTGAATAATGCCTGAATAGCTGAGAGACAAGAGGATATTTGAACAGTGAAAATAAATCATGCATTCAATGTAAGCTATGTCTGAAGACTGGGAGATAAACAATGATTATTCAAAAAAATGGACCAGTAAGATTGCTTTAAAACGCTGTAATATGCAGTGTTTTACAGACCTGTTTCAGTTGGTAGATACAAAACTTTTTTCATAAAACAGACACTTTAATGTAATTTTATCCTCTTCACTAAAGAGCATTTTCAGCTATTTTAGTCCTCAATTAATGTGGCAAGAAAAGGCTCCTTCTCTTTTATTTGACAGGAGGTTTCCTTCCTTGCAACAAGGAGATAGACATAGCTGACAGACGTGTAATTCTGACTTACAATACTCACTTGAAAGAGTCCCTCAAGCCCTAGTGTCTTAGGAGAGCTGTACCAGCTTGCACATCTGCAGTCCCCAGAATGGTGACAGCTTTCAGATAAAAAGATGGGAATCTAGTCGGCATTTGGTCAGGAATTCTCAACAAAGGTGTCTTCTGCAGAGTGTGATGGACTACAACAGTGATGACACTTCTTCAAACTTTGCTGCTTCACCATAGCTTTTTCCTATTTTTTTCTTCCTTTCTAAACCATGGATACAGGACACATACCAACAGACACATGTCATTTATATTAGAGACAGGTTAGAGGAGTAGTGAGAGAATACGATTAGAAATATGGAAAATTAAACTAGTCCATCCATATCCACCATTTGAACAGAATCTTAGACCAAAGAACCTCCCTTCATCATGATAGAGAAATTATGCTACTAGATATGAAGCTTGGGACAAGGTCAAGTAGATATGGCATTAATTTTAAGAATTGGAGTTATAAAGCTAACACAAGGTGACATCACAAACAAGTTTTGTGACTGTGCAAATTTCTTTGAACCTATAAAATCCATTCTTCATAATGTAAAATGAAGAAAAGAGAATTCCAAGGTACTTTTCACTTTTAAAAGAAAAATTACCTATTCTTGAAGATGTTTAAAGATCAGTCAATGGATTTCAATTGTATATATTTTGTAATAAAAATACTCTGAATTAGACACACATCTTGTAACAAGAAAAAAACACACAAAAATAATTAAATTATGCTACTATTTCTGTTATGGTTAAGGATAGTTAATTATATATACAGTATGTATAACATGATATAAAGTATTTTTAAATCTGGGATTATGGTAATCTTATCTAGTGCTAACTGCAATAGAGAAGTTTTTTCTAATTATTAAATTCTTTACAGTTGGAGACAAATGAGATAGGCCAGGACCCTGGAGACTTGAGATAAGTGGCTGGTGGTTGTGATGGTCGTCAGCCTGTGGAGACCACCACAAATCTCACCTGTGCTAATGTGATCTATATTTGAACATTCTATTCTATGTGATGCTAACAGCTACATATTTGAGCTTGCTACAGTGACATTTTGTTTACTATCACAATGGCTTTGTATGCCCCAATTGAAACCTATATATAGCCCTAAATTAGTTTTATTTTTAATCACGCAAATTTTCTGTCTCTGAACAGTCACTCTAGCTGTATTAGCTGCTCACTAATAATTACAGAATTTTCTAGTAGTTTCAGCAGCCAGGGATGTTTTTGCTTTTTTTGTTTGGTGGTTAGGGTCTTTCCTTCATGACTGCACAGTCTCAGAGTTTGCTATTATTTCTCCCTGAAGAACACATCATTAAGGGGCACATGCTTTTTACATATTTCTGTTAAGAAATTCTGATATTCTTTTCCTTGATGTCTTTCATTGTTTAAATAAAAGCCTAATTGATAGTAATAGCCTAACATTATAAAATGCTAAAATTATAACTTTTAAATATCAAATATCCAAATATCTATTGGATCTTAAACTATTCCGCAAAATCATTTTATTTGATCATCCAATTTATGTTTGGAAAGTTTTACAAATAAATCTCTATGTTTCAATGATGGAACACATAAAATTATGTACCATTTTGTATCTGTAAAACCTTTTGTTTCCATAGCTTAAAAAGATTTGTCTTTTCATATACATTTTTTAAAGAGTATCTATTGAAGGGTACCCTTTTATCATTCTAAGGTAGCCTTTGCTACTTTTTTTTAACTTACATAGTTTGGACTAAGAGAAGTGGTAGGAATGACTCATTTTCTAGAAAGAAAATAAATGTAATTAACACATTATTGAGCTATCTAAGAATGTGTCAGACACATTTGATTCTTCTGACATGAGACTGGTAACATCCAGGTACCCCCGTCAGCAGGCAGACTTGACAGAACAAATGATATACATAATATATGTTGAGATTTCTTTGTACTTGTGCAAACAACAATTTATCAAACCTCCAATTTATATTTATGCTTTTGGAATGCCCAAAACAGCAGTATCCCCCAAAACTCTATTAAACATTTATTAAATAAATAAAGGTATTTGTTCATGGGGTTTTGGAACTTACTACCTAGTAAGTATATTAGTATATATTTTACATATTCACAATTTCTTTATTTTCTAACTTAAAAGATGATAGCTGGATTCCCATATCTGTTTTTGCATTAAATCTGTTGCAATATCCCACATCACGCTCCTTTCAAAATATGACCATATATATTCGTAAGGAAATGAAAATTAAAAAAGAAAATAACATCTTAATATTATTTGGGGAAACTTGTGTAACACCTTCAAGGTCTCTGGGAACAACGTGAATGAGCAGATTTCACTTCAAGAATAGTTGCTATAGATAAATTGCTAGAGAACTGAAATTTTAACAATATTGAGTTTTCCATTCCATGAACATTGTATATATTTCTATTTGTTTGTTTTCTTTAATTTCTCTTAAATGTTGTGACTTCTAACTTAATAATTTTGCACATTTTGTTTAAATTTATTCCCAGGAATTTATGGGTACATTCAACACTATTGTAAGTCTATTTACTTTTTATGTTTTACTTTCCAATTCTTCTCTGCTAATATATAGAAATACAATTGATTTTTGTGTATTATCATATATTTGTTAAATTTACATGTTCTAGCTTACTTTTTGGGAGGATTAATTGAGATTTTATGTCACTTGAAAATAAGTGCTGTTTTCTTTCTTTCTTTCCAGTCTTTATGACTTTTATTTCTCTTGCTTTAATCCACTAGCTAACATTTTCAGTAAAATGTTGAATAGAAGTAATTAAATACCTTTGAATATTCTTAAACTTAGGAGAAATATTTATTCTTTTACAATTAAATATGCATTAGCTGTTGGTTTTTCATAGATGTCATTTACATAAATGAGAAAGTTCCCTACCACAAAGTTTAGTTAGTTTTTGTCATGAGTCACTGTTTAATTTTACCAAATACTATTTTTCATGTATTGAAAAAAATCGTATAATTTTGTCTTTTTTGAAAATGATGAATCACAAAAATTGATGTTCAAATATTAAAACAAAATTGAAATTTACATTTCTAGGATACAACTCTGTTGGTCATGATATATTACATCTTAGTGCTATTTTGAATAATCTACTTTTGTTAATGATATTTATTTCTGTTCATGAAGGATATTAGTCTTAAGTTTTCTTGTTTAGAATAATGTCATATTTTAGTATCACAGTTGTGCTGAACTCCAAAGATGAGTCCATTGATATTCTCTCCTCTGTTACAATGAAATAAATGTATTAAAGGTTAGGGTTATTTTATATTTAAAAGTTGATTACAACAAGTGGATTTTGTCATCATTATAAAACACCTTGCTTAATCTCAATAATATACCTTAAACTTAATTTTGTTGGGCACTAATGTAGCCATTCCATATTTAAGATTTTTAACATACGTCTATATTTAACATTTGTAAGGTATATCTTTCGCCATGTGTCTAATTTTAACTTACATGAGCATTTAACGTGCTTTTCAAATTAATTTTTATAGTATTGGATTTAAATTAGTCTATTCACTTTTAAGCTCTGCCTCTTTATGTTATTTTAAAGTGGTTTCATTAGGAATTGCAATATGCATACTTACCATATTATGATCTACTTACATATAATATCATACTACCCCATTAAAAAAGCAAGAAGTTTACAACAGTTTAATCTCATTTACCCTTTTATCCTTTGAACAGATGTTGTCATAGATTTACTTCTACAAGAATTATAAACCCCACAATACAGTGTTTTGTTTTGTTTGTTTGTCTGTTAACAGGTTTTTTTGTTTGTTTTGTTTTGTTTTTTATTGAGACGGAGTTTCACTCTTGTTGCCCAGGCTGGAGTGCAATGGCGCAATCTCAGTTCACTGCAAACCCTGCCTCCCGGGTTCAAGGGATTCTCCTGCCTCAGCCCCCCGAGTAGCTGGGATTACAGGCATGTGTAATCCCAGCTAATTTTGTGTCTTTAGTAGAGATGGGGTTTCTCCATGTTGGTCAGGATGGTCTCAAACTCCTGACCTCAGGTGATCCACCTGCCTCGGCCTCCCAAAGTGCTGGGATTACAGGCATGAGCCACTGCGCCCAGCCTCTTAACAGTTATTTTAAAAATAAATAAATAAATAAATAAATAAATAAATAAATAAATAAATAATGTAGTTGATGCTTTTACAAATGTATATTATTTCTTATGATCTCCATTTCATTTTGTAGATCCAAGTTTTCAACTAATACAATTTATTTTAGTTTCAAGAATTTTTTTAGCATTTCTTTAAGCATAGGTTTGTTGGCAACAAATTCTATCAGATTTTTAAAATTTTACTATTCATTATTGATAATAATGGTTGTACATATTTTTGGAATACATATATATTTTGGTACATGTATATAATGTGTAATGATTACACCAGGGTAATTGGAATATCCATCACCTGAAACATTTATCTTTTCTTTGGGTTGGAAACATTACAATCCTCTTCTAGCTATTTTGGAATATATAATAAGTTACTGTTAACTATAATTTTCCTACTGTGCTATTAAATACTAGCACAGTATTTTTTCTATCAACCCATATTCTATACCCATTAACCAACTTTTATTCATCCTACCCCCACTTCTCTTCCCAGCCTCAGCTAATTACTATTTTACTCCCCACTTCCATGAAATCCACATTTTTACCTCCCATGTACGAGTGAAAACAGGTGATATTTGTCTTTCTGTGCTTTAATGTTTTCACTTAACATAGTGACCTTCAGTTCCATTTATGTTGGTACAAATGACAATACTTCATTTTTTATGGCTGAATAGTATTCCGCCGTGCATATATATCAGCTTTTCTTTATCCATCCATCTGGTACTTAGTTTATTCCATATCTTGGCTATTGTGAGTACTGCTGCAATAAATGGGAATGCAGATATCTCTTTGATATACTGATTTCTTTCTTCTTGATATATATGGCTGGGTTATATAGTAGTTCTATTTTTAGTTTTTTTGAGAAACCTCCTGACGGTTGTCTGTAATGGCTACACTACTTTACATTCCTAATAACAGTGTACAAGCATTCTCCTTTTTCAGCCTCCTTGCCAGAACTTGTTATTTTGTTGTTGTTGTTGTCTTTGTTGTTGTTGCTGTTGCTGTTGACAATAGCCATTCTAACTGTTCTAACTGGGGCGAGATATCTCATTGTCAATTTGATTTGCATTAATCTGATGAACAGTGATGTTGAACATTTTTTCATATACCTGTTGGCCATGTGTATGCCTCCTTGTGAGAAATGTCTATTCATGTCTTTTGTTCATTTTTTAATTGAAGTATATGTTTTCTTGCTATTGAATTGTTAGAATACCTTATGTATTATGGTTATTAATCCCCTGTCAGATAAATAGTTTGCAAATTTTTTCCCATGTGTTGGTTGTCTCTTCATTTTGTTAATTAATTTATTTACTGTGTAAAACTTTTTTTAGGTTGATATAATACCATTTGTCTATTTTTCTTTTGGTTATCTGTGCTTTTGTGGTCTTACCCAAAATCTTTTGTCAGACCAATGTTCTGTAGCATTTTTCAAATCTTTTCTTCTAGTAGTTTCATGGTTTCAGGTCTTACATTTAAGTCATTGATCCATTTTGAGTTGATTTTTGTATATAGTGAAAGATAGAGATCTGGTTTCACTCTTCTGCATAGGAAATCCAGTTTTCTCAACACCATTTATTAAAGAGACTGTCCTTTCCCTGATGTATGTTATGGACACCTTTGTCAAAAATGAGTTGGCTCTAAATGCATCAATTTATTTCTATTCAGGTACTCTATTCTGTTCCATTTGTCTATGTGTCTGTTTTTATGCCAGTGCCATGCTGTTTTAGCTAACGTGACTTTGCAGTATAATGTGAAATCCAGTAGTGGAATGCCTCCAGCTTTGTTCCTTTTGCTCAGGATTGCTTTAGCTATTTAGGATATTTTGTGATTTTATACCAATCTTAGCGTTGCTTTTCTATTTCTGTTAAGAATGTCATTGGTATTTTGATAAGTATTACATTAAATATGTAGAAAACTTTGGGTGGTATGGTTATTTTAACTATATTAATCCTTTCAACTTATGAACATGGGATAACTTTTAACTTTCTTGTGTTCTTTTCAATTTCTTTCATTGACGTTTTACAGCTTTCTTTGTAGAAATCTTTCATGTCTCCAATTAAATTAATTTCTAGGGATTTTAAAATTTATTAATGAGATTACTTTTTTATTTCATTTTCACTTGATTTCTGTTAGCATATAGAAATGCTAATTATTTTTGTATGGTGATTCTGTATCCTATAACATTACTAAATTCATTTATCAGTTATGGTTTTTTTGGTGACGTCTCTAAGTTTTTCTGTATATAAGATCATGTTGTCTGCAAACAGGAATAATTAAGACAAATTATCCTTTATTTTCATTTTGAATGCCCTTTATTTTTTTCCCTTGCCTAACTGCCCTGGCTAGGGCTTTTAGTATTATGTTGAATAAAAGTGATGAAAGTGGAAATCCTTGTCTTGTTACAGATCTTAGTGAAAAGGCTTTCAGTTTCTCCTCATTCAGTATGATATTAGCTGTGTTCTTGTTATATATTACTTTTAATCTCTTGATGTAAGTTCCTTCTGTACTCAGTTTGTTAATGGCTTCTTATCATGAAAGGATGTTAAATGTTGTTGAAAGCTTTTTCAACATCTATTGAAATGCAATATGATTTTTGTCCTATTTGTGTTGTTGTTAATGTGGTGCCTGACATTTATTGATTTGTGTATGTAGAACCCTCCTTATATTCCAGGGATGAATTCCACTTGATCATGTTGAATTATATTTTCAATGTGTTGTTTGCTAGTATTTTTTGAGAATTTTTGCAACTATGTTCATCAGGGATATTGGGCTGTAGTTTTCTTTTTGTCATTGTGTCATTGTCAGATTTTGGTATCAGGGTAATACTGGCCACATAGAATACGTTTGGAAGTATTCCTGCTTCTTTAATTTGTTAAAAGTAGTTTGAGTAGAATTGGTATTGATTTTTTAAAAATATTTGATAGAATTCTGCAGTGAATCCATCAGGTCCTGGGTTTTTCTTTGATAGAAATTTTTTTTTATCTCATTGTGATTTTGACTTGCATTTCTCTGATGGCCAGTGATGGTGAGCATTTTTTCATGTGTTTTTAGGCTGCATAAGTGTCTTCTTTTGAGAAGTGTCTGCTCATGTCCTTCGCTCACTTTTTGATGGGGTTGTTTGTTTTTTTCTTGTAAATTTGTTTGAGTTCATTGTAGATTCTGGATATTAGCCGTTTGTCAGAGGTTGTGAAAATTTTCTCCCATTTTGTAGGTTGCCTGTTCACTCTGATGGTAGTTTCTTTTGCTGTGCAGAAACTCTTTAGTTTAATTAGATCCCATTTGTCAATTTTGGCTTTTGTTGCCATTGCTTTTGGTGTTTTAGACATGAAGTCCTTGCCCATGCCTATGTCCTGAATGGTAATGCCTAGGCTTTCTTCTAGGAATGGCAATCATTAAAAAGTCAGGAAACAACAGGTGCTGGAGAGGATGTGGAGAAATAGGAACACTTTTACACTGTTGGTGGGACTGTAAACTAGTTCAACCATTGTGGAAGTCAGTGTGGCGATTCCTCAGGGATCTAGAACTAGAAATACCATTTGACCCAGCCATCCCATTACTGGGTATATACCCAAAGGACTATAAATCATGCTGCTATAAAGACACATGCACACGTATGTTTATTGCGGCACTATTCACAATAGCAAAGACTTGGAACCAACCCAAATGTCCAACAATGATAGACTGGATTAAGAAAATGTGGCATATATACACCATGGAATACTATGCAGCCATAAAAAATGATGAGTTCTTGTCCTTTGTAGGGACATGGATGAAATTGCAAATCATCATTCTCAGTAAACTATCGTAAGGACAAAAACCAAACACCACATGTTCTCACTCATAGGTGGGAATTGAACAATGAGAACACATGGACACAGAAAGGGGAACATCACACTCTGGGGACTGTTGTGGGGTCGGGGGAGCGGGGAGGGATAGCATTAGGAGATATACCTAATGCTAAATGACGAGTTAATGGGTGCAGCACGCCAGCATGGCACATGTATACATATGTAACTAACCTGCACATTGTGCACATGTACCCTAAAACTTAAAGTATAATAATAATAAAATAAAATAAAGAAGACTTTTTGTTATTGCTTTGATCTCATTACTGTTCTTTGGTCTGTTAGGCTTTTCTATTTTATTATTGTTCAATCTTGGTAGTTTATAAGTGACAAAAAATATGTCAAATTATTTTAGGGTTTTTTTTCCAATATGTTGGCAGATCACTGTTCAGACTAGACTCTAATGATTCTTTGTATTTCTGTGATATCAGTTGTAATGTGTTCTTTTTCATCTTTAATTTTATTTATTTGGCTCTTCTCTCTTCTCTCTTTCTCTCTTGATAGTCTATCTTATGCTTTGTTAGTTTTGTTTGTTTTTTTAAAAAAATACTTTTTATTAGGTTGAGCTTTTGTATTGCTTTATTTAGTATTAATTTCAGTTATTTCTATTCTGATCTTTTTATTTCTTTTATTCACTAATTTTAGGTTTAGTTTGTTCTTGCTTTTCTAGTTTCTTAAAGTGCATTTTTAGGTTGTTTATTTGGAGTATTTCTATTTTTTTGATGTAAGTTATTTGCTATAAACTTTTCTCTTAGTACTGCTTTTGCTGCATCCTGTAAGTTCTGATATATTGTGTTTCTGTTTTCATGTGTTTCAAAATTTTTTCAAATTTCCTTCCTAATTTCTTCATTGATGCATTGGTCATTCGAGAGCATGTTGTTTAATTTTCATGCATTTGTACAGTTTTTAAAGTTCTTTTTGTTATTAATATCTAGTTTTAGTCTCTTGTGGTCAGAAAAGTTACCTGAAATACTTTTGATTTTTTTGAAATTGTTGACACCTGTTTTGTGGCCTAACATATTGTCTGTTTTGCAGAATGTTGCACATGCTAATGAGAAGATTGTGTTTTCTGCAGCAGTCAGACAAACGTGGGTTACATTCATTTGGTCTACATTATATTCTAACTCTGATGTTTCCTTGTTGAATTTCTGCCTGAACGATCTGTCCACTGCTTAAAGTGGGCTATTGAATCCCTCTACTGGTATTGCAGTCCTTCTCTCCCTTTAGATATATTAATATTTGGTTTGTATATTTGCATGCTCTGATGTAGGATAAATATACATTTAATATTGTTATATCATCTTGCTAAATTGACTCCTTTATTACTGTATAATCTTTCTTTGTGTCTTTTTATGGTTTTTGAGTTAAGGTCTAATTAAGCATAGCTCCTCCTATTCATTTTTCTTTTTTATTTTCATGGAATATATTTTTCATCTTTTCACTGTAAGTCTACATGTGTCTTTATAGGTGGAGTGAGTTCCTCATAGTTAGCATATATTTGGGTCTTGTTTTTTAATCCATCCAATTTGCTTTTTTTTAATTGGATAGTTTGGTTCATTTACTTTCATTGGTTACTATCATAGTTAAGGCCTTACTTTATACATTTTGTTTGTACTTGTATAACTCCTCTCTTTCTTTCTTGTTTTCTTACTGCTTTTGTAGTTACTTGATTTTTCTCTAGTGGCATGTTTTAATTCATTGCTTTTTATTTTTCATGTATCTTTTAGGTTTTGCTTTATGGCCACCACAATGCTTACAAGATATAACTTGTAGCTATAACAATTATTGAAAACTGATATAACTTCACTTTGAATAAAATAAAAGAAACAAACCAAAAAAATACCTAACACATTAACTCCCTTCTCCCTCCACATTTTGAATTTTTTGGTGTCACAATATACATTTTTGTATTGCTTATCTCTTAAAAAAATTATTGTAGTTATTATTTTTAAGAGTTTTGGTTTTTATTTTTCTTACTAAATATATAAGTGCCTTAAACCCAATTGTCACACTAATAATTACAATATTAGTGTGACAGTTACATTAGCATCCTTTTCTTTTAGTTTGCAAAACTTTTTTAGCATTTCTTTTAGAATAGGTCTGGTAGAAATGAATTTCCTCAGCTTTTGTTTGTTTGGGAAAGTCATTTCTGAAGAATAATTTTGCTGGGTACAGTATTCTTAGTTGACTATATTTTTCTTTAGTATTCTACATATATCACACCACGCCCTCCCGGCCTGTTATGTTTCTGCTGAAAGTGTACTGCCAGGTGTATTGGAACTCTTTATATCTTGTTTTCTCCTATCTTTCTGCTTTTAGAATCTTTTCCCTATCTTTGAACTTCGAGTGTTTGATTATAATGTGTCTTCAGGTATTTTCATTTGGGTTGAATTGGACTGATGACTTTTGACCTTTTTGCACTTGCATGTATTTCTTCCTTCAGGTTTGGTAATTTTTTATGTTATTATTTATTTGAATAAGTTTTCTAGTCCTTTAACTTTTTAAGTTCTCTCTTTTATTCTAATAACCTAAATATTTGCTCTTTTGATACTGCCCCATAAGTCCCATTAGCTTTGTTTAATATTTTATTCTTTTTTGATTGTATATTTTCCAAAAGTCTATCTTCAAGCACATTGATTCTTCCCTCTGAGTAATTCTGCTGTTAATGCTCTCTTTCACATTTTTTATTTCCCTCATTTTATTTTTCAACTCCAAGATTTCTGTTTAATTTTTTATTATTATTTAAATCTGTTAAATTTATCTGATAAATTTATGAATTGAGCCTCTCTGTTTTATTGAGGTTTGCTGAGCTTCCTTAAAACCGCACTTTTGAATTATTTGTCTAAGAGATAATACACGTCCATCACTTTTGCATCAATTTCTGGTGCCTTACTTTTTTCCATTCAGTGAGGTCATATTTCCCTGAATGTTCTTGTTGTTTGTAGAAGTGAGACGACAGCACATCATTAGGTATTTATTTTAGTTTTTGCAGTCTGGCTTTCCTTATGTCTATGCTTCTTCAGAGGGCCTTCCAGGGATTTTATACCAACTGACAATTGTATTCCTTAAGTTCGTATCCACTATAGCCATCTCAGCAATAGAAGATGCTTTAAGCTCAGGCTTGCTGTGAGTCTCATGAGGTCCCAGAGACTGATGCAGCTTTCTGCCCAGATGGACCTGCAGAAGATTTGGGGATGGTTAGTGGATGTATTTGGGAATGCTGACCAGGGACCTGAGTCCAGAAGACTTGCCCAGTGGCCCTTACAGTTATTCCTCTCAGCAGACTCCTGCACAGGTGTGATGAGTTCCCACCTGCAACAAAAAGGGGCTAGAGTTGAGACTGGACCCCTTTGGAATCTTCTGTGGGAAAGAGTTTAATGAGCCCATCTTGTTGGCTCAGAGTGGTGTGTGTCTGCCAGCAGATCTCTGCACAGGTAAGAGTTTTCTGACTGCAGCAGGAGGGGCTGAAGCTAAGACTGGGTCTGCCCTGAATCAGCTGTGAGACAGAGTCCGAAGAGCTCTGTCTAGGCTCAGAGGGGTGTGCATAACCCAACAAGTTCCTGCACAAATATAATAGTTTCTTGACTGCAGCAGGAGGGGCTGAAACTGGGACTGGATCCCTTAAGCATCTGCTGTAGGATGGAGGCTGGATAGCCTGTTTTCATTGGCTCAGAGGGGCACACATCACCAAGCAAGTCCCTGCACAGATGGAATAGTTTACTAATTACAGTAGAAGGAGTCAGAGATGTCACTGAGTCCACTTAAGATCTCCTGTGTAACAGGCTGAATAGCTTGCGTTGTTTACCCAGATAGACACATATCCCAGCAGATCCCAACACATATGGGATTGTTCCTCACCTGCAGCAAGAGGGGTCAAAGTTGAAACTCGTCTTTTTTAAGATCTACTGTGGGATAGAGGTTGGCAAGTCCATAAAGGAAGCTCAGACCCCCAGGCTATGAGATGGGAGTCAGTCTCTGTTTAGGGAAAAACTCTCTAACTGCTTTTTTTCTCTTCTCTCACACCACCACAACAACCATCAACAAAGAAGAAGACTTCTGTGACCAAAAATATGACAGTTTGTCCCCACACACCACTTGAAGGATTAAGACCCCAAGACTTCCCTTCAGACATCAGTCTCATGTCTAGGCCTCCTGAACTTCTGACCTACCTGGTTCAAGTTGGGATTCCTACAACCCCTTCTTTGAGTTCAATTAATTTGTAGGAGCAGCTCAGAGAACTCAGGGAAACATTTAACTTATGTTTGTTGATTTATTGTAAAAGATATTACCAAGGATATAAATGAAGAGTTGCATACAGCGAGTTATGGGGGAGGGGGTGTGGAGTTGCCATGCTTTCTCCAGGTGTGCCATCTCATCCTCCAGGAATCTCCATGTGTTCAGCTATCTGGAAGCTCTCTAAACCCAGACCTCTTGGGTTTTTGTGGAAGTTTCATGATGTTAGCATTTTTTTTAAACCGGTTATATAGAGTGGGACCCTCTCCGGGGAGGGTCTTAAGACCTACATTCAGAAAGAGGAGGGAAGGCAGGTGCAGTCGCTCATGCCTATAATCCCAGCACTTTAGGAGGCTGAGACAGGCTGATTACCTAAGGCTGAGAGTCAAAACCAGCCTGGCCAACATGGTGAAAACCTATCTCTACTAAAAATACAAAAATTAGCCAGGCATGGTGGTGGACCCCTGTTATCTCAGCTACTTGGGAGGCTGAGGCAGGAGAATCTCTTGAACCAGGCAGGCGGAGGTTGCAGTGAGCTGAGATCATGCCACCGCACTCCAGCCTCGGCAACAGAGTGAAACTGCATCTCAAAAAACAAACAAAAAAAATGAACTAACTAAAAAAGAAAGAGAGGAGAAGATTAGGGTGCTGTCTTGGGGCAGGTGAAAAAAGCACAAAAGAGATTCTGTAGCCCAAGGCCTGTGCCTGAGGCTTAACATATTCAACATTATAGTAAAAGATTGTAACAAGGGTTATGAGAATTATGAATGAGAAACTATGGACAAAAACCAATACATATCATAGTGCCACACGCCACCCCTTGGTTTTCAACCATGGGTCTATAACAGCAAAACAAAGATAAACAATTATTAATAATTAGTCCAGTTCATCATACTGTATGAGTTTCTCCCAGGCTGAGGCTCTCAGGTTTGTAGCCCTTCTTTCTACCTTGTCAGGTTCCAAAAGTAGGAGTGGTCTCAGCAAATATATAGCTTCACCCTTTAGGCATCTGGAATAATTGAGCTAAGCAACAATTTCATCTCTTTCTGTGAGATTTCTTAGAGTTGTTAATGTAATAGTGAATTACCCTCATTTTATAAGCCATTTATTCATTTCTTTACCCTTGGCTATTATTCCTCCTTTTTGTTCCATTTGTCATTTATTTTTACCTAAACTTTTCCACTTTCAGAAGGGACATGAGGTTTGGCCACTGTGATGGTCCAGATTGCTGGCAGCAATACTAGTCTAGCAAGTGTCTCCCACTCAGTCCATTCCCATTTACATAAGGAAGAGTTACATAGGTTCCAAACTAGTGAGCTATTTTTATCACTAGACAATATGGCAGTACTTATTCTTAACCCCAATTTTGCTAGGTGGGGTAAAGGCACCATGTACCTCCATCAGACCTTTAGGAATTTTGACTAAGTTTAAAAATATAGTGACATATTTTGCTTAAAAATCATCTCTACTTCCAGTACTTGTAGTTTCAGTCCTGGTCCTAGGACCACTGCATTAGGCAAGGAAGAAAAAAAAAGATTTTTTTTGAGGTAATTTGTGGAAGAAAGTAAAAATATATATAGTTGTTATAGCAGTGTATTCCTCCCTTGGCAAAAATTGTATAATTGCATAGTCATACCACCATCCTCCCCATCCCTTCTCCGGATCAACAAGAAAAGCAGAAAAAACATCGAGGGGGGCTGCTCCTTTAGTCTCATTCATGTCAGGTGACCGGGGACTGAAGCAGACCCCCAGCATAGCACAGATGGTCTACAGAAATGTTGCCAGACTGCTTTTTTTAAGTGGTCTCTGATCCTATTTCTTCCCACTCAGTGGGACCTTTCAAGTGGGGTCTCCAGATATCCCTGTCGGTATTCACTAGTTGACAAAGGTTTCAAATCTCCCTGGGCAAAGCTCCCAGAGGGAGGGATGGACTGCCGTCTTTCCTGTTTGGGTGACTTAGCTGTCCCAACCTTCAGGCTTTTGGGACTCCAAGGTGACCAGGGGCTGGAGCAGATACTCAGCAAAGCACAGCACAGCTGCTCTATGAAAATGTGGTCAGACTGTTGTTTAAAGCAGGTCCACAATCTCGTTTTTCCTCATTGGGAGGAACCTCCCAACCCGGGTCTCCAGCCACCACCTACAGGTGCATTTGCGCAGGAAACAGGTCTGTATCTCCCTAGGATAAAGATCCCAGAAAGTAGAGTAGGCTTCCGTCTTTGCTGTTTCATAGCCTTCACTGTTGATACCTCTAGGTACTGGAAAATCTGAGGTGACTAGGGACTGGAGTGACCCCCAGCATACTGCAGCAGTCCTACAGAAAAATGGTTAGACTGTGGGTGCGTGTTCCCATATTTCCTCAATGGACAGATCCTCCAGGCCTGGGCCTCCAGTCATCCCCCTATCTGGGGCTATTGAGCCAGTAGCAGCTTTTCAATTCCCCGGACGGAACCCCCAGGGGCAACTGAAAGCCTCTCTGCCACTGCCTTTACAGTGGAACTGCCATTGCCACCTTTGAACTAACAAAGGAGCAAAGACCCTAAGTGCCTTATCCACACCTCCAACAAGCTGCCATCAACCCAAGGAAAGAAGGCCAGTCTGTCTTCCACAGGTCCCACCCACCCACCCTGATCATCACCAGACAGGGAACCCCTGGCTTGGGCCCACAGCACAGACCCTCCATCCTGGGCTGACTGAACTGAGTGATTGCTGGCTGCATCTCTTTGGGGAGGAGCCCTCAGGAGATAAGTAAATAACCCTTGGCCACAACCACTACTAAGGTCCCTTCCTCTGCTGCCTCCAAGTTCAGGAAGAAACATGAACCCTGTAATCTCCCCAGAGCTGCAGTGGGCAGCCCAGGAGTGCCAAGCCACAATCAACAGCCAGAATTCAAGGTGGAGAGGAGCCCACACTTTCAGAGCATTGAGAGGAAACGTGGCTGACACAGTGAGAAAACAAAGGGAAGCCACACAACTGAGCAAAAGTCCACCAACTAACCAATATGCCTAAGTACCATGTATTAGATCAAAACCCAAAGTTTCGACATCAAAAATGCCTCGCTAACATACCCCTCTCCCGCCATGAAACCAAAGACAAGAAGTCACCCCCAAGTAGACTCTGCACAAAGCCTCAGCCCTGTGAAAACATCCAGAAAAGAGATTGACTGAGTGTACTCAACTACATTGCAGTTAAAGGAACACTCACATGCAGAGAGGAGAAAGAACAAATGCAAGAACTTTGGTAAATCAAATAACCAGAGTGTTGTATGTCCTCCAAATGATTGTACCAGTTCTCCAAAGAAAGTTTTTAAGCAGGTTGAGATGATTGAAATGACAGAAATAGAACTCAGAATATGAATAGAAACAAAGGTCATTGAGATTTAGGAGAATGGCTAAACCCAATCCAAGGAAACTAAGAATCACAGTAAAATGATACAGGAGCTGAAGGATGAAATGGCTGGTATCAAAAGAAACTAATGGATCTGACAAAGCTGCAAAATATATACATTACCTTTGCAATGCAATCACAACTATTAGCAGCAAAATAGACCAAGGAGAGGGAAGAATCTCAGAACTTGAAGATTGGTTCTCTGAAATAATGCAGTCATACAAAAAAAAAAGAAAGAAAGAGAATGAACAAAACGTCTGAGAAACATGGGATTATGTAAAAGGTGAAATCTATTAATCATTGGTACCCCTGAAAGAGAGGGGGAGAAAGCAAACAACTTAGAAAAAATATTTCAGGATATAGTCCATGAAAACTTCCCATCCTTGCTAGAGAGGTTAACAGTAAAATTTGGGAAATATAGAACACAGGCAAGATAGAGTGTTAAAGGCAGATAGATAGGAGGAGTAGGTCACCTACAAAGTGAACTGCATCAAGCTAATAGCAGACTTCTCAGCTGAAACCCTAGAAGTCAGAAGAGATTGGGAAACTATATTCAACATTTTTAAAGAAAAAAAATTCAAGAATATTTTATGGAGCCAAATGAAGCTACCTAAGCAAACGAGAAATAGAAACCTTTTCAGATAAGCAAATGTTGAGGTCTTGTTACCACTAGACCTGCCTTACAAGAGATCTTGAAAGGAGAACTAAATATAGATTAGAAAAATCACAACCCACTAATACAAAAGCACACTTAAACACACAAACCAGTGACACTATAAAGAAACCATGCAAGCAAGCAAGCATAATAACCAGCTAACAACACAATGACCGGATCAAATCCACACATAAAATACTATTCTTTAATCTAAATGGGCTAAATGCCTCACTTAGAAGGCAGAGTGGCAAGCTAAATCAAAAAGAAAGACCAAATGGTATGCTGTCTTCAAGAGACCCATCTCACACATAATGACACCCATTGGCTCAAAATAAAGGGATAGAGGAAAATCTACCAATAAAATAGAAAACAAAAAAAAGCAGTGGTTACAATCCTAACTTCAAACAAAACAAACTTTAAACCAACAAAGATCAAAAAAGACAAAGAAGAGCATAACATAATGGTAAAGGGTTCAATTCAACAAGGAGACGTAACTATACTAAATATATATGCATCCAACACACTAGCATCCAGATTCATAAAACAAGTTCTTAGAGACCTACAAAAAAATGTAGGCTTTCACACAATAGTAGTGGGAGACCAGTTAGAAAAAAAAAAGCATTCAATTCAGCCCATTAAGCTTATCTGTTTTTACCTTATTTGATCAAAGTAGCAGCCTTCCAAGTAGGATGTTGTCCATTCACTTTTGAGCTGTGCAGCAGGGCAGATAAGCCAATTGACATAGTTTTGCTCTTTCAAAATGACCCTCCTAAGCCTTGGGCTCCACCAGTTAAATAAACTTCTACCTGAATTCTGAGTATCCTGCAGAGAGACATTTGACTGTGGATGGGTGCAGAATTTTTTTTTTTTTTTTTTTTTTTTTTTGCTATTGTAGGGTGATATGAGTGGGTTACCATCTATTCTGCCATCTTGGTGACATCACTCTATCACCTTTTATTATCCTAAAAGTCTTTGTTTCACCCACTTTTGTGAAGTATAGCTCCACTGAATATAGAATTATGGTAGACTTTTTTCCATATCCTTAAATATTTTGTTCTATTTTCATCTGGCCCTTGTTGTTCTGATGATAAATAAGCTAGTATGTGTATCTTTTTACTTCTTAAGTGTCTTCATTATTCTCTTGTTGCTTTCAACATTTTCTCTTTATCTTTTTTTTATTAGTTTTATTATTACACATGTAGGGGAGGCATCTATATATTGATTGGTTTGGCAGTTTGCTATACTTTCTGAATCTGTTTATTAATATATTTTTACCAATTTTTAGAAATTTTAAACTGTTATTATAACAAAAAATTCTCTGTTTACTTGCTGACCTCTCTGGAACTCCATTTATACCCTACGTTATTGAGACAGTTCATTTATTTATGTTTTTCTCCCTAATTTTCAGAAAACTTTTACTGGTATCTCTTCAAGTGTTGTAGTCTTTTTTTCCCTTGCAATTTCCAACCTGTTGTTGTGTCCACACAACACATTTTTTTCATATGTTATACATTTTAGTTGCAGAATTTCCACTGGGTTCTTGTTTACATTTCCTAATTATCTGGTGAGATTCCCTGTATACTTTATTACTATATCTGCCATTCTCTCTATATCCTTTAATATATTTACAATGTTTTATACTCTTTCTTTGATAATTCAACACCTGGATTGTCTCACAATCAGTTTCAGTTGAGTATGTTTCTACTTACTTTATAAGCCATATCTCTCAGGGTTTTTGTTTTTGTTTTTGATTTTTTTACATGTCTATTGATTTTTTATTACATATTGTAAATGGTAGATATACATGGTAGGAAGTTTAGATAACATTATCTTCCTTTATGCGTATTATTATTATTATTATTTATATTTTTAGAGATGGTGGTACCATCATGTTGCCCAGGCTGGTGATGAACTTCTGGCCTCATGCAACCCTCCCACCTCAGCCTCTCAAAGTGTTAGGATTACAGACATGGGCTACTACACTCAGCCACGTATTATTATCTTTTCTTACAGCCATAAAGTAACTGGTGATGCTTTCAATCTTATGAAGCATAATTTTCTTTTTTGTTAGGCTGCATCTACTTCAGTTTTGTTCCCAGGCTTAGGGTATATATTAGTCTAGACTGTGGTCATTGCTCTTAAGATATGAACTTCAAAGGCATTCAGATGATGCCAGAGGTGTTTAATGTACTGTCTCTTGTGCATCTTGTCTAACAATACAAAGTTTCTCAGCACTGTATGTCTTCACATATCACAGACAAGCAGTGGGTACCCTAGATGCTGCTAGGGTTTCCAAATTATTGTCCTACACACCTAAAACTCAGCCCTGCCCAAGCATGTATAGGAAGTTTATGTACAGACTTTTAACGCCCCACTTAGGTCATTTCACTCCTTTATTTTGCCCTGAAAAGTCTAGATTTGCAACATCCCCAAATTCCAATCTCTGCCCCCTCAGCTCAGTGAGTCTACCATATCTTCTCAAGCTCTACCTAATTAAACTTGAGTTTAAAATGGGTCTTCAGGCCAAAAGCCAGTTCAAATATGGGACCTACCTCCTATGTTCCCTAATCAGAAGGATCTTAAGCTTCCTGTTGTGCAACAACTGAAAACTTTTGCTTCGTGTATTTTTGTCCAGTGATTCATTTTGTCAGGACTTCAGTGTTATAAATGCCATCATGATATATATTTCTGACATTTGACTTAAATCAATATGATTACTAGCTGAGTAGAATTCTAAGGATGGCTTTGATAAGTCTTACAGTTTTAGAAAATATTTCAAAAAAGGAAATTAAAAATTCATAAATTGCTTTTTTAAAATGTGGAAAAAGAAACTTTTTTATTAGACCCATATTTACTGATCCTTAATTGGTTTATTTTATGTTAAATCTAATTTGATTTTGGAGACAACTGCAAAATATTAAAAATACAATGATTTAGAAGTTACTGAATAGGACTGGCTCAGGAGAGAGGCTGGATATGTATTGACTACATTGACTCATTGAATTTTTTGTAGGTGTTTCAGTGAAATTTTAAATGGAGGAAAACTGTGTTATATGAATTGTAGTAAACGTTAAAACAATAAGAAGAAGAAAATAAATAAAAAAGATTAAAAAGTAGGTAATGCAAAAATATACAGAAAAGTCAATTGAGTGGATAGCTAGTTTGAATAAATAGAACAGTTTTTAAGCTGAACTTAAACTCATGCATAATTCTTCAAAAAACAGCATACTTCCAAATTTGGATTCAGAGATCATTTAGAGTTATTCAGAATATTCAAGTATAGTTAAAATGATAACTATCTTACTCTCTGCATAATTTTAATAGCCTATCATTACTGTCCCAAATTTACCATAAAATACCACTAATGATCTATAATCTGTTTAAAAACTTCTTCAGAATAAGGTGACATCTGGTAACTGGATAAAAAACAAAACTGAGCAGTAAGCAAAAGTTGTTTCTATAAAGTAGAGATCTCCCTTTCCTTAGTGCTCTCTTTTTCTTTTAAATGTAATACTTCTATTTTATAAAATACTTACTGCTAACTAACTAAGCTAGTCTTTGATCTGTAACACAGGATCATAAAAAATAACTGCACGTGATGAAACTGCAACTGAAATGTGCAAACAAATCTTAATAATCAATTGGGAAAACCAGATTTGTTCTGTGACCTTTAGAATTGTCAAAACATTAAAAAATTTTACTACCCATTATGAATGTATAGGAAAATGGAAAAATTAAAATTAGTATTTATTTAACACACTGTTGTTTAAAATTCTAGCAACATTGGTAATTAGTTTTTAATTGGTTTTCAAAAACAGTAGGAGTGAGCATCTTCTCTATGCCTTGGTGAGTTGTTTCCTTACTCTTTTCTAAGTTGGAGTCAATTTTCAATATTTTACCAGTTGAACTTTTTATGCCAGGAAATTTCTCTCAGAGTTCTTTTAAATATAAACATTTTTGCCAGTGTCGCTTCCTATGGGAAATCTTTAGCTTTTCATAACAACCACTTTTCTCATTTGTATCAGTAAGTGCACATTAACTAAGTTCCTCCGTCTCTATATCTAGTATCTATTAAAGGGAAATGATGTTAGCATTCTTATTGTCAGCTATTTATTTTGTAACTCCAAATTCATGTTTAATTTGCATTTTATTTGCAGCATTATCACTTTTTGTTTCTCTGATGCACTTTTATTGGCCAACTCTCATTTTCGATTACGTATTTTTGTAAAATATCATGTGGGCTTATCACTGAGAGACAAGAAGTCAACGCAATTGCATGCTTTGCTGTCTGTACATGAACTGAGTAAGAGATCCACAGTGACCAACCACTGACAGACTGAAAATACAGAGACATCTGTTATTCACAGGGTGCTTTGTAGATTGAAGAATTAGCAGGGAAGTTTGTCTTTTCTGTAATTTGTCAGTTAATGTATAGTTGTAACTGATATTTAAACTGTTTCGGGACTGGTGTTAATTAACCAACACAGGTGATAACTAATATTTATGCATGTCATATCAGTGCAAAGTGAGGACTCTGCCTGTACTCATTACCTGTAGGTAATGTATTTGCAAGGCAGATACACTCCCAGACTTCAGAGGGGAACAAGAAGATATTCAACAAGCAAAACTAATTACAAAACACAAATTCTCTGAAGGAAAAATTAAGGGAGATATGAGAGCCTGTACCAATGAGAAATCAGCTAATCAGAGAGGAGATCAGGAAAGAGGTCCATGATAAAGGGAGGATTGAGCCTGAAAGATGAATTTTAATTAACCTCTCAAATAGTTGTTGGAAAAGCATTCAAAGCAGATGGAACATAAGACATGTGAAAAGTTATAAGGAAGCAACTCATTCCACTATTCCTTTTGACTGAGCAGCATGTGCATATGCATGTGTCTGTGTTAGGAAGGGGTGAAATACAAGAGTTGAAGAAGCAGGCAGGGATCAGACAATACGGGATATTTCTGGTATGCTATCAAGAGAAGTGGAAGACAACATGAGAGTTTTGAGCTGAGAAATGATAAATTTGCATTTTTAAAGAAAAAATAATATTTCAGTTCTTTCCTAGACAAAGAAGCTTATTTTCTGACAAAACAACATTTTTTGGAGGCATTGGATTTATTGCTATTTATTGCCTTATTGGATTTATCCTAAGATTTATTGCTATGATTTTTTTATGAAAAAGAAGCTCAAGAAATGAACACTGCATTCACTAGGCTTTCTTTTTGAAATTGTTTTTTAAAGCATCAATTCAAGAAATTAAGGCCCAAACAGTTTCACTCTTGATGGACAAATGTCAAGCATTAAAAATTTAGGAGGTGAAGACATCTCATATTTTTGTAGGTGGGGAAGGGTCAGTGAACTAAAGAGAGAACTTCTATATATTTGACTAATTTATAATCTGTCCCTGGGCATGGAGGCACTCTGGAAAGCTGAGAAGCAATCTGAGAAGCCACAAAAAAGCTAGAGAGATGCT
Organism: Homo sapiens; assembly: GCF_000001405.40. Lineage (NCBI taxonomy): Eukaryota > Metazoa > Chordata > Mammalia > Primates > Hominidae > Homo > Homo sapiens. Next base: position 48,736,652 of record NC_000006.12, read on the forward strand.
GGAATGTAGGCAAAGCAAGCATGAATAAACATTGAAAACACTCGTTTAGCAGAAACAAGAAAGTCCATGCTGTAAGAGTAAGAACCATACTCTAGGAGTAAAGACAAGACAGAAAGACAAGACAGAAATAGAAAATTCCTTTATAATGCCAAAAAAAGCATTTTGACAAGATCAATTTGACTTGTTAGAAATTTAACTAACTGCTAGAATGAAATTTAACATATTTTTAAGGAAAATATAATCACCAGAGCCTCTAAAATGCAAAAGTCTTGTAAAATTTCTAGCAAACAATAAAAGTAATGACCACTAGGGAAATTTAAAAACTCTGTATGGAAACTTTTGCTTCTGACCTAGATGGAGTAATAGGAACCAGATGGCTCCAAAAACCTGAAGTAATGAATGATTAATTCTGCAAACATACAGAAGAGCTTCACATGTAAAACCACAAGCCATTCCTGAGAGAAATTCAAGAAGCTCTAAATGAATAGAGTAATATACGATATTCATGAATCAGAACATGCATGCTATATTGATAAAATGTTAATTCTTACCAAATCAATCTATTCAATAAAATTTCAATTAAAATCCTGGCAGGCTTTTTAAATAAATCAGTTAAGGCTAAATTTAATACAGATATGCAAATAATATAAAACACCAAAAACAACTTTGAAAAAGAAGAAAAAAGGAAGAATCTACTGAGGAGCCAAGATGGCCGAATAGGAACAGCTCCGGTCTACAGCTCCCAGCGTGAGCGATGCAGAAGACGGTGATTTCTGCATTTCCATCTGAGATACCGGGTTCATCTCACTAGGGAGTGCCAGACAGTGGGCGCAGGTCAGTGGGTGCGCGCACCGTGTGCGAGCCGAAGCAGAGCAAGGCATTGCCTCACTTGGGAAGCACAAGGGGTCAGGGAGTTCCCTTTCTGAGTCAAAGAAAGGGGTGACGGAGGGCACCTGGAAAATCAGGTCACTCCCACCCGAATACTGAGCTTTTCCGACGGGCTTAAAAAACGGTGCACCATGAGATTATATCCTGCACCTGGCTTGGAGGGTCCTACGCCCACGGAGTCTCCCTGATTGATAGCACAGCAGTCTGAGATCAAACTGCAAGGTGGCAGCGAGGCTGGGGGAGGGGCACCCGCCATTGCCCAGGCTTGATTAGGTACACAAAGCAGCCGGGAAGCTCGAACTGGGTGGAGCCCACCACAGCTCAAGGAGGCCTGCCTGCCTCTGTAGGCTCCACCTCTGGGGGCAGGGCACAGACAAACAAAAAGACAGCAGTAACCTCTGCAGACTTAAATGTCCCTGTCTGACAGCTTTGAAGAGAGAGGTGGTTCTCCCAGCACGCAGCTGGAGGTCTGAGTACGGGCAGACAGCCTCCTCAAGTGGGTCCCTGACCTCTGACCCCTGAGCAGCCTAACTGGGAGGCACCCCCCAGCAGGGGCACACTGACACCTCACACGGCAGGGTACTCCAACAGACCTGCAGCTGAGGGTCATCTCTGTTAGAAGGAAAACTAACAAACAGAAAGGACATCCACACCAAAAACCCATCTGTACATCACCATCATCAAAGACCAAAAGTAGATAAAACCACAAAGATGGGGAAAAAACAGAACAGAAAAACTGGAAACTCTAAAAAGCAGAGCGCCTCTCCTCCTCCAAAGGAACGCAGTTCCTCACCAGCAATGGAACAAAGCTGGATGGAGAATGACTTTGATGAGCTGAGAGAAGAAGGCTTCAGACAATCAAATTACTCTGAGCTACGGGAGGACATTCAAACCAAAGGCAAAGAAGTTGAAAACTTTGAAAAAAATTTAGAAGAATGTATAACTAGAATTACCAATATGGAGAAGTGCTTAAAGGAGCTGATGGAGCTGAAAACCAAGGCTCGAGAACTACGTGAAGAATGCAGAAGCCTCAGGAGCCGATGCGATCAACTGGAAGAAAGGGTATCAGCAATGGAAGATGAAATGAATGAAATGAAGCAAGAAGGGAAGTTTAGAGAAAAAAGAATAAAAAGAAATGAGCAAAGCCTCCAAGAAATATGGGACTATGTGAAAAGACGAAATCTACATCTGATTGGTGTACCTGAAAGTGATGGGGAGAATGGAACCAAGTTGGAAAACACTCTGCAGGATATTATCCAGGAGAACTTCCCCAATCTAGCAAGGCAGGCCAACGTTCAGATTCAGGAAATACAGAGAATGCCACAAAGATACTCCTCGAGAAGAGCAACTCCAAGACACATAATTGTCAGATTCACCGAAGTTGAAATGAAGGAAAAAATGTTAAGGGCAGCCAGAGAGAAAGGTCGGGTTACCCTCAAAGGGAAGCCCATCAGACTAACAGCGGATCTCTCGGCAGAAACCCTACAAGCCAGAAGAGAGTGGGGGCCAATATTCAACATTCTTAAAGAAAAGAATTTTCAACCCAGAATTGCATATCCAGCCAAACTAAGCTTCATAAGTGAAGGAGAAATAAAATACTTTACAGACAAGCAAATGCTGAGAGATTTTGTCACCACCAGGCCTGCCCTAAAAGAGCTCCTGAAGGAAGCACTAAACATGGAAAGGAACAACCGGTACCAGCCGCTGCAAAATCATGCCAAAATGTAAAGACCATCGAGACTAGGAAGAAACTGCATCAACTAACGAGCAAAATAACCAGCTAACATCATAATGACAGGATCAAATTCACACATAACAATATTAACTTTAAATGTAAATGGACTAAATGCTCCAATTAAAAGACACAGACTGGCAAATTGGATAAAGAGTCAAGACCAATCAGTGTGCTGTATTCAGGAAACCCATCTCACGTGCAGAGACACACATAGGCTCAAAATAAAAGGATGGAGGAAGATCTACCAAGCAAAGGGAAAACAAAAAAAGGCAGGGGTTGCCATCCTAGTCTCTGATAAAACAGACTTTAAACCAACAAAGATCAAAAGAGACAAAGAAGGCCATTACATAATGGTAAAGGGATCAATTCAGCAAGAAGAGCTAACTGTCCTAAATATATATGCACCCAATACAGGAGCACCCAGATTCATAAAGCAAGTCCTGAGTGACCTATAAAGAGACTTAGACTCCCACACAATAATCATGGGAGACTTTAACACCCCACTGTCAACATTAGACAGATCAACGAGACAGAAAGTCAACAAGGATACACAGGAATTGAACTCAGCTCTGCACCAAGCAGACCTAATAGACATCTACAGAACTCTCCACCACAAATCAACAGAATGTACATTTTTTTCAGCACCACACCACACCTATTCCAAAATTGACCACATAGTTGGAAGTAAAGCTCTCCTCAGCAAATGGAAAAGAACAGAAATTATAACAAACTATCTCTCAGACCACAGTGCAATCAAACTAGAACTCAGGATTAAGAATCTCACTCAAAACCACTCAACTACATGGAAACTGAACAACCTGCTCCTGAATGACTACTGGGTACATAACGAAATGAAGGCAGAAATAAAGATGTTCTTTGAAACCAACGAGAACAAAGACACAACATACCAGAATCTCTGGGACACATTCAAAGCAGTGTGTAGAGGGAAATTTATAGCACTAAATGCCCACAAGAGAAAGCAGGAAAGATCCAAAATTGACACCCTAACATCACAATTAAAAGAACTAGAAAAGCAAGAGCAAACACATTCAAAAGCTAGCAGAAGGCAAGAAATAACTAAAATCAGAGCAGAACTGAAGGAAATAGAGACACAAAAAACCCTTCAAAAAATCAATGAATCCAGGAGCTGGTTTTTTGAAAGGATCAACAAGATTGATAGACCGCTAGCAAGACTAATAAAGAAAAAAAGAGAGAAGAATCAAATAGACGCAATAAAAAATGATAAAGGGGATATCACCACCGATCCCACAGAAATACAAACTACCATCAGAGAATACTACAAACACCTCTACGCAAATAAACTAGAAAATCTAGAAGAAACGGATAAATTCCTGGACACATACACTCTCCCAAGACTAAACCAGGAAGAAGTTGAATCTCTGAATAGACCAATAACAGGAGCTGAAATTGTGGCAATAATCAATAGCTTACCAACCAAAAAGAGTCCAGGACCAGATGGATTCACAGCCGAATTCTACCAGAGGTACAAGGAGGAAATGGTACCATTCCTTCTGAAACTATTCCAATCAATAGAAAAAGAGGGAATCCTCCCTAACTCATTTTATGAGGCCAACATCATTCTGATACCAAAGCCAGGTAGAGACACAACAAAAAAAGAGAATTTTAGACCAATATCCTTGATGAACATTGATGCAAAAATCCTCAATAAAATACTGGCAAAACAAATCCAGCAGCCCATCAAAAAGCTTATCCACCATGATCAAGTGGGCTTCATCCCTGGGATGCAGGGCTGGTTCAATATATGCAAATCAATAAATGTAATCCAGTTTATAAGCAGAGCCAAAGACAAAAACCACATGATTATCTCAATAGATGCAGAAAAAAGCCTTTGACAAAATTCAACAACCCTTCATGCTAAAAACTCTCAATAAATTAGGTATTGATGGGACGTATTTCAAAATAATAAGAGCTATCTATGACAAACCCACAGCCAATATCATACTGAATGGGCAAAAACTAGAAGCATTCCCTTTGAAAACTGGCACAAGACAGGGATGCCCTCTCTCACCACTCCTATTCAACATAGTGTTGGAAGTTCTGGCCAGGGCAATTAGGCAGGAGAAGGAAATAAAGGGTATTCAATTAGGAAAAGAGGAAGTCAAATGGTCCCTGTTTGCAGACGACATGATTGTATATCTAGAAAACCCCATCGTCTCAGCCCAAAATCTCCTTAAGCTGATAAGCAACTTCAGCAAAGTCTCATGATACAAAATCAATGTACAAAAATCACAAGCATTCATATACACCAACAACAGACAAACAGAGAGCCAAATCATGAGTGAACTCCCATTCACAATTGCTTCAAAGAGAATAAAATACCTAGGAATCCAACTTACAAGGGATGTGAAGGACCTCTTCAAGGAGAACTACAAACCACTGCTCAAGGAAATAAAAGAGGATACAAACAAATGGAAGAACATTCCATGCTCATGGGTAGGAAGAATCAATATCGTGAAAATGGCCATACTGCCCTAGGTAATTTACAGATTCAATGCCATCCCCATCAAGCTACCAATGACTTTCTTCACAGAATTGGAAAAAACTACTTTAAAGTTCATATGGAACCAAAAAAGAGCCCGCATCGCCAAGTCAATCCTAAGCCAAAAGAACAAAGCTGGAGGCATCACACTACCTGACTTCAAACTATACTACAAGGCTACAGTAACCAAAACAGCATGGTACTGGTACCAAAACAGAGATATAGATCAATGGAACAGAACAGAGCCCTCAGAAATAACACCACATATCTACAACCATCTGATCTTTGACAAACCTGAGAAAAACAAGCAATGGGGAAAGGATTCCCTATTTAATAAATGCTGCTGGGAAAACTGGCTAGCCATATGTAGAAAGCTGAAACTGGATCCCTTCCTTACACCTTATACAAAAATCAATTCAAGATGGATTAAAGACTTAAACATTAGACCTAAAACCATAAAAACCCTAGAAGAAAACCTAGGCATTACCATTCAGGACATAGGCATGGGCAAAGACTTCATGTCTAAAACACCAAAAGCAATGGCAACAAAAGCCAAAATTGACAAATGGGATCTAATTAAACTAAAGAGCTTCTGCACAGCAAAAGAAACTACCATCAGAGTGAACAGGCAACCTACAAAATGGGAGAAAATTTTTGCAACCTACTCATCTGACAAAGGGCTAATATCCAGAATCTACAATGAACTCAAACAAATTTACAAGAAAAAAACAAACAACCCCATCAAAAAGTAGGTGAAGGATATGAACAGACACTTCTCATAAGAAGACATTTATGCAGCCAAAAAACACATGAAAAAATGCTCATCATCACTGGCCATCAGAGAAATGCAAATCAAAACCGCAATGAGATACCATCTCACACCAGTTAGAATGGCAATCATTAAAAAGTCAGGAAACAACAGGTGCTGGAGAGGATGTGGAGAAATAGGAACACTTTTACACTGTTGGTGGGACTGTAAACTAGTTCAACCATTGTTGAAGTCAGTGTGGCGATTCCTCAGGGATCTAGAACTGGAAATACCATTTAACCCAGCCATCCCATTACTGGGTATATACCCAAAGGACTATAAATCATGCTGCTATAAAGACACATACACACGTATGTTTACTGCGGCACTATTCACAATAGCAAAGACTTGGAACCAACCCAAATGTCCAACAATGATAGACTGGATTAAGAAAATGTGGCACATATACACCATGGAGTACTGTGCAGCCATAAAAAATGATGAGTTCATGTCCTTTGTAGGGACATGGATGAAATTGGAAATCATCATTCTCAGTAAACTATCGCAAGAACAAAAAACCAAACACAGCATATTCTCACTCATAGGTGGGAAATGAACAATGAGATCACATGGACACAGGAAGGGGAATATCACACTCTGGGGACTGTTGTGGGGTGGGGGGAGGGGGGAGGGATAGCATCGGGAGATATACCTAATGCTAGATGACGAGTTAGTGGGTGCAGCGCACCAGCATGGCACATGTATACATATGTAACTAACCTGCACAATGTGCACATGTACCCTAAAACTTAAAGTATAATAATAATAAAAAAAGGAAGAACCTACTAAACCTGGTTGCACGACATAAAGTTATAGTAATCAAGGCAACGTAATATTAGAGTAAAGACAGGTATATAAATCAAAAGAATAAAGAGTCCAGAAATATTCATGTTCCTATGATCAATTAATTTTTGATGAAGGTGTCAATGCAAATTATACTATATTGTAAAAAATTATGCTGATCCAAAATAAATGAACCTCGGCCTTTACCTGACACCGTATACAATAATTAAATAAACATGGATCATAGAACTAATGTAAAAACTAAACCTATAGAATTTCTAGAAGAAATCATAGGTGAAATTTTAAGTGACAATTGACTGACTTGACAAAAATCCTTAAATACAAACTAAAAAAAAAAATAAGTAAATAGATCGGTCTTTATTAAAATTAGAATCTTGCTCTTTAAAAGACCCTCTTAGTATAATAAAAAAGACAAGCTACAGACTGGTGGAAAGTATTCGCAGAACAAATAGTTGACAAAGAAGATCTAACTAAGAGTATACAAAGACCTCTTAGAATTCAACTTTAGGCTTAGAACAAGTTTTTTTAAAATAGGCCAGATTGTTGAATAGATATGTCACCAAAAATGTATAAATAGAAAACAATCACATGACAAGAGCTCAACATCAGTTTTTATTAGAGAACTATGAGTTAAAACCACAATAAAACACCAAAACGCCCACCAAAATGTCTAAGATTCAAAAGACTGAACTTATCCAAGGATCAGTGAGAATGTGCAGCAAATGGAGCTTTCATACATGACTGATTCGAATGTAACATCTTAACAGGAATAGATAAAGAAAGAATCAGTGGTGCATCCATAAAATGAAATGCTGTAACAAAGTATCACAAACTAAGTGATACTTTGCTACAGCAGCCCTAGAAAACTATTACAAACATCAAATGTATGTGTTTTGACAGATTTATATTTATTTCATTTTTGAATTTTTCTTTTCTAAGGTTTTAATATTTCCCTAATAAATGCAGAATATTTCGTTTGTCTCATATTAGGACAGGAATTTCTCAAATTCATAATTTTTTTTTGATATTTCAATTAAAAATACTGTTATTTAAAAGGAAAAATGAAATGCTCTGAATACAAAGGAATAAAATATTGTTACACACAACAGCATAGATAAACCTTAGACTAATTAGGCTGAGAAAGTCAGACAGAAAAATGCACGCACTGCATACCATTTATATAAAACTCCTGGATGTCCAAACAAATTCGTGTGACAGAAAGAAGATTGGTGGTTGCCTGGAGCTGGAGGAGTGGATGAAGAGGAGAAGCAGAAAGAAAAAAATGTACACAAGAGAAATTTTGAGGCTAATAGTTACATTCATTATCATGATTGTTTTATTGGTTTTAAGGGTTATACATAGGTCAAAATGTATCAAATTTTACACTTGAAATATGTACAGTTTGTTCTATGTCAATTATATTACATTAAAGCTAGCTGAAAATAAGGAGAGAAGAACATTTTCTTTTTGCACTCTGATTACAGTGTGGAGACTGGACTGTAGAGAGAAATAATGGAAGAAAAGGGAGAATTTTAGCATGCCTCCAAATTCTTCTCAAGAATATGGTAAGCAGAGGTTATTGATTGTAGGTGTGTATACAGAACTGAGAAATATATTGAGGTAAAGCAAAGGTAAAGATAAAGTAAAGCCCTCAATGTTAGATTGGAAATGGGAGGTAAGGATAAGGTAGAAGAAAGATTAAAGCATGACTCAGATTTGTCTTGCTCAACTGGAGGAATTGGGATTCTTTTCTATGCTGTAGAGAAACCTGGACTAGGACCAAGTTTCTAGGAGGAAACTGTTCAATTCAGTTTTGGAAATGCTGAGTTTGAGGCTTGCTTAAAGCCTCACAATTGAAGGAGTTGAGTAGAAGTTTGGGCAAAGAAGCATAGTTTGGAAATATAAATTTGGGATTCATTAGACATTTGATGGAATATTAAGCTTTAAAAATTAGAGAGAGAGGCAAATGAAAGTTTTCATTAGAAAGAGAAGAGACCCATGAAAGAGATTAGGCAATTTCTAATCTACAAAGAGAAACCGACAAAAACACTAAGAAGTTTCTATAATTTATAGTGACCATTTATCAAATTTGTACTAAATGAAGGAATGAATAATGATTTTTATGAAAAAACATTCAAATCAAAAACATTGCAAATCAAAACCACAATGAGATACCATCTCACACCAGTCAGAATAGCTATTTTTAAAGAGGCAAAAATTAACAGATGCTGATGAGGTTATGGAGGAAAAGGAACTCTTATACACTGTTGGTGGGAGTGTAAATTATTTCAACCATTGTGGAAGACAGTGTGGTGATTCCTCGAAGACCTAAAGACAGAAATACGATCCAACCCAGGAGTCCCATTACTGGTTATATACCCCCAAACATGCAAATCATTCTATCATAAAGTCACATACATGCATATGTTCATTGCAGCCCTATTCACAGTAGCAGAATCAACCTAAATGCCCATCAAAGATAGACTGAGTAAAGAAAATGTGGCACATATACACCATGGAATATTATGCAGCCATAAAAAATGAGATCATGTCCTTTACAGGGACATGGATGAAGCTGGAGGCCACTATCCTTAGCAAACTAATGCAGGAACAGAAAACCAAATCCTGAATGTTCTCACTTATAAGTGGGAGCTAAGTGATGAGAACACATGGATGTGTGGGGAAAACAACACACACTGGGGCCTTTCAGAGATTGGAGGGTGGGAGGAGTGAGAGGATGTGGAAAAATAACTAATGGGTACCAGGTTTAATACCTAGTTGATGAAATAATCTATACAACTAACCCCCATGACGTAAGTTTACCTATGTAACAAAACTTCATATATACCCCTGAACTTAAAATACAAGTTAAAAATGATTTTTTAATCAAAACCCTATCTTATCATGTTGGCATTTACTCAGTATTCAAAATAATTTTTAATGCGTATTGGTATTTTTAAGCTTTATTAACCACCCATTGGAATGTTATTCTTCCTACATCTCCATTCATGTAACTAACAATATTGTTAGAGATGACATGTGCATCCAAACAAATGGCAGGTTAGTAGACTTACGAGCAATAATCAATATTTTTTTTCTAATCTGTTCCTGGTAGTGTGCATTTAGAAACAGGAAGTCTTCTATTTCACATCAGTAATAGTAATAATAAAGCTTCAGTGTAAACATTTGTGAGTTAAGAATCCCCGACCGAGCGCCGTGGCTCACGCCTGTAATCCTAGCACTTCGGGAGGCCGAGACGGGTAGATCACGAGATGAGGAGATCAAGACCATCCTGGCTAACACAGTGAAACCCCATCTCTACTAAAAATACAAAAAATTAGCCGGGCGTGGTGGCGGGCACCTGTAGTCCCAGCTACTCAGGAGGTTGAGGAAGGAGAATGGCGTGAACCCGGCAGACAGAGCTTGCAGTGAGCCGAGATCGCGCCACTACTCTCCAGCCTGGGCGACAGAGCGAGACTCCCTCAAAAAAAAAAAAAAAAATCCCCTTGGTTTCAGTTTGTAAAAAAAACAGAATTTTCTTAAAACAACTGAAATCTTACACTAGACCTACAATTGTGCAATTAACAGAACACTATCTTTTGTGGAAATTTTCTTTGTGGAATTTTCTTTTCAACATTTTTTAAGTTCTGAGGTACATGTGCAGGATGAGAAGGTTTGGTACATAGGTAAACCTGTGCCATGGTGGTCACACTGCATAGTCTTGATGGAATTTTGAAATACATTAGCTCATACTATTGCCTAACAACTCTAAATAAATATTTATCTTTTGACTTTCCTTTTTATAACGTGAACCTCAAAAATATTGCTATAATTAAACTACTTGGCTCAAGGGCATTTTCTTACAACTGCATTAAAGTTCTCATAAAGTTTACATCATGTAGCTTTGCATTACAAACCCTTCTCGGTTTCTCTTGGGTTCTGTATTGCATCACTAAATCTCACTTCATTCTTCCTCTTTCTACTTAAACCCCTTCACTTACAATTAGACATTTGGTTATAAAATTGTCCTAAGACTTTTTTTTAACATTATCCCAATGTCATTTCCAATTTGAATGAATGTCCTTGTGTGCTGCACAGCCTTTTATCATCAGTATGCACCCATACTGGCCAACTATGTCAGAGAAAAAAATTAAGACATCAAAGATGGGAAGAATTAAATGAGGGAGGTGGAATTTCCTGCACTGGCAGGGATGAATCTAGTGACTGCCTAGGTTTCTAAGTTTCTGTATTTATACTTTGCCTCCAGGAAATTCTCTAGCAGTTAAGCACCTGACTTTATCCAGGGACACATCTAAAAGACACACACACTGAGGTCACTTGACTGTCTTTCACAGAGTCTGTAGGGAATTTATCCTTAGCTTATGAAAAAAGTACATGAAGTTTTGGGAAAAGGTAAGTGCTGCAAGTAATATTTAATACTCCAACATTATTATCAACCATGAGGCTTGTGTATCAATTGATATATAAGCAGAACTAAGGTGAGAAAACAAAATTTCATTAAAATGTTAATATAGGTCTATTGATTCACTTTGTCTTCTCACATTTAATTGGGTGTTTTATTTTTTAGTATATAGATCAAGAGAATATCGAACCATGATTTTATTGTAAAATACAGTTCCTTTTTTTTCTTTTTGTTTCAGGCTATTATCAATAATTAAGTTTGGTGGGGAGATAAAAATAGGTTTTCACAGGTGTAGCCTAATAAAGAGGAATTGAAAACAGGACCAGGAACAAGTTTGTAAAACTTACAAAAGGAGATTAATTTTGATATGTCTGTATAAGATATGCTGCAGTACTTCTGTTACATAATATGCAGATGTCTACTACACAAAGCTAGTACACAGCACAGAATTATGTAAGGTGCTTTTAGTTTCATCTATCCCAATGGATAATTTACAGACTATTAATTCCCAAACTAATAATTTACATGGTCCCCTTACTATTTTGAAATAAAATTTATTGAAAATATATCCTGACTACACAGATATTATCTTAAAATTAATAAAGTCTTAACTGTCATAAAAATCAGAAATAAAAAAATGCCTTAAACATAAAATAATGTGACTTTCAATATGTGAACTTTTGGACACAACTACACTGAAAAATATAATGAAATGGTGAAATGCAACTACACAGAGAACCACCATGAACATTGCATCTATAAAGTACACTGGATTAAGGGTGTTGCATTTAGGAGTCAAATGCCTAGCAACATTAATTTTTCTGATGTTCTTTTCTGAACGGAAAACAATTTAGGAGGAAATTTCAATCAAACCAAAGTATAATCATCTTCAGGGCTTTCATGGAAAATTCACAACTCTTAAACCTGTGAAAATAATTTGCTTTTATAAGCAAAATAGCAGAATATTAAAATCATGGATAATTAGCACACTTCCTCAGTGGTATATGATTGTCTTCCGGATATCTATAATCCCTGACCCCAAACAGTTAAATAGCAGTACACTCTTCTCTAATCTACAGGACAAGGAAAGAGTCCACAGATTAAAAAAAAATGTGTTTAACTATGACAATCCTTTAAGAAACACTGACTTAAAGAGTCACTATGTGAATTCCCATTTAGCATGTGAATGAGTTTTAATTTTGCTTGTAAGTAGGGGAAACATACTTCAAAGCAAATCTTAAGCATGACAAAGAATTAAAAACTGGATTATTTCTCTATGGGGAATAAAAATCCAGAGGTCCATCTTCTTACTTTCTTTGTGAGCACTACTCTCCCTATGCTTTAAACCACTGCTGCCTAACAGTGATATGCCAACTGCTGATCTTATGCAAAATGTTTGTTACCAGTCTGAGGTGATGTACAGAATTTGAGAGTGATCATTTAGAAGTTTCCCAGATATTGAGCAGATTTTTATGCCTGTTGAATCTGTTGATAACAAAGTGGGAATTGAATTTTCTATTTTTATTTCATTTTTTCTCTTAATTCATTTTTATTGTAATTTTCAAAAGTATTGGCCCCATGTACTGAAACATCACATGGTACCCCATAAACATATATAATTGTTATGTCAATTATAGACACAATTTTTAAAAAAACACATTTTACTCTGTAATTACATATAATTATTATTTGTCAATTAAAAATAAAATTTTTTACAGACAGCTTTGGTCCATGACAGATTGGAAATACACAATGCTTATCATTCATTCCAGCTAGATGAAAAGCCTTGCCCTGGACAATATCTGTGGCTGCACTTCAGAAAGACCTCCTGAGTATCCACGTAGGATGTGAAATGACTGCCTTAGTCATATGTACAATCTGAATTTTCTTTATAAGGGTGGAGAAAGGGTACAGAAGGAATATATCTCTTTGGATGTAAATCCATCCTGATCAAAAATAAATCTTAGAAAATAATGGAGGCAAAAGTCCCATCTATTCTCTCCCTTGTTTTCTATTTCTCTAGTTCTGAGCATTCTTTTCCTGCTGCATACCTAGAACTGTCTCTCTCCTATTCCCCCATTACTCAGATAAGTGCTCTCTAAGAAGTCACCATACTCCATGATTAGTCTTCAGCTTTCGCCAGCTATTTAATTGGTTATCCCAGTACCTTTAGTGTTAACTAATATCCCTGGTTAATAACAAATCAGATAATTAAAAATCAATAAAACTAAAGTTGCAAATTGCAGTGTGATTATATTTCTGTAGGTATTTAAAAAAACAGTAATGTCAGCATTCTCTAGTATTGTATCTTTATTGGGGCAAATTAGGGGTCTATAGGCTATCAGAAACAATATGTTCAGAAAGCACCCTTAAATGTTACCACTCTAAAATCTCCACATAGGCTTTGTTCTCTCTCCCTACATTTAGGTTTCAACTTGCTTCTGCTTGTCTTTCTGCAAAAAAGTATAGCTGTAGTAGTATTAACAGATGTGCTGTAAAGAATGTTCTCTTTTATAAGTTAGGGCATTAGGAAAGATGAACTTGGTACATCACAAAGGAAAATGGAGATACTGTGGTTACTAATGCATTGCTATTTTTAGAAAGTAACACCCATTTCTGTATTATGTTTGGACTTTCCAGGTTAGCAAGTAACATTTTAGAGCTTATAGACTCTCTGAAGAAGGCTGTGAAAGGAAAAAAAAAAAAGAAAGAAAGAAAGAAAAAGAAGAGGAAAAAAGAAACACATTATAAACAACCAACATGTCATAGAATTTTCGAGAATTTTTGGACCTTTGAGACTTACACAATACATGCATTAAACCAGGCTATGAATGTCTTTTCTACAGAAACAAGAAAGGGAAAAGTTGGCTTTGCAGAGAGAATGCAATGGAAAAAGAAGTCATCCATTCATAATCCTTTCAAAATCAAGAAGAGCTACATAAAATGTAGATGTACTGCCATTAAGAGCATACACAAAGACCTGCATGCTCCACAGTTCTGTTACTGAATAAACTAGGCTAAGATAAAAACAATTTTACAAATAGGTACTGTTTAGAAGTAGTGATAATGAAATGGATATAGGTAAGTCTGTGTAGAAAAAGATGTGTTTTCGAAATGTAAATGTTATGCTTTCAAGTTATTTCTTTTCAAATAAGATGCAAGAACATTTGTGCATTGGTTAGCATAACAATGAATCTGAATCTAGCATTTCACTTTAAAAAGCTTTATTGAGAGTGACACAAATAGAACTCTGGGGAAAATGACAAGATGCATCTTGAAGGCTAGAGATTGAAAAGGAAGAACAAAGGGTTTTATAACGAGAGAATCCTCATATCCTTAACCTATTATTTTCTGTTTAAAGGATGCATGGTGATATCACTTCTGGAAGCCCAGTAAGGCAACAGTGACCCATTTTCATTCCACAAAATGCCCTATCATTTCCGTACAATCAGTGGATGACTGCAAAATTAAACCACCTAAGATTACATAATCTCATGAATCTTACATTAAGAAAGTTGCAAATATCTGCTGAAAGAGGAAGTCCCATCTAAAGAGTTACCTCTGTAATAAGACATTTCAGAAATAGATTTTAGATCTCCATATCACTGTTTATTAAATGTGTGTGATGCATGATGTGTGTGTGTTTGTCTGTGTGTGTGTGTGTGTGTGTGTGTGTGTTTTGTATTAGATATTAAAATACTAAGCTCTAATGGGCTTAGCGGTTTGCCAAAGATAACCACTAAAGTTAAGGGAACAAATTGAAGGGGTGTCCAGCTGGGCAAGTAAGGTTGCATGCATATGTTCTTTACACCCACTTTCTACAGGAAATTCTAAGATATTTTATTTTAGTATTTCAGCTTAATCTCCATTATTTCATTGATACAGGATTAAATCATCCAAAATTGGCATACATAATTTAAATTATAACTTACATGACAATTCTCTAAAATTCCAAAGGCCTCTTTCATTCTTAAACCTACCCACTGCAGAAACATAAATCAAATAATATAAGTTACTCAGGCAAGTAGCAGGTATTACCTAGAAGTCAACTTTTAATGACAATCAGATTGTAGATTCTGTCATAATAAGCCTTACTGCTCTCATTTAAATTGTTCCCTATTAATCTTAAATTGTTAATAATTTATATGCGTTGATTTCTAACAAATAAGTTAGCTTCATCATTAAAAATGATTATTTCTGCTATGGTTTGAATGTGTCCTGAAAATTTTGGTGTTGAACCTTAATGATCAATGTAATAATTTTAAGAGGTGGGGCCTTTAAGAGGTGATTAGACCTTGAGGGATTCCCCTTTGTAAATGTTCTAAGACCCTTTTAAAAAAGGTTTTATGCGATGATCGGCTCCCTTGCTCTTTGGCCTTCTGTCATGTGAGGACACAATGTTCCTCCTCGGTGGAGGATGGAGCAACAAGGTACCATCTTGGAAGCAGAGAGCAGCCCTCAGGGAAAACCAAACCTGCCGGCACCTTGACCTTGGACTTTCCAGACTCCAGAATTGTGAGAAAATAAATGCCTCATCTTTATGAATTACCAGTTTCAGGTATTTTTATTGTAGCAGAATAAGAGGACTAAGACAACGCCTTCTCTTTTTTGATCTTTAAATACCAGAGTTCTCCAGAGCTTAGTGTCTGCTCTACTCACTCTCTATTTTAAATACCATCTTTCCTGATCTTGTCCAGTTTTGTAACTTTAAATACCGTCTCAATTTCAATAACTCTAACATGTGTGTCTCCTGTTAAGGTTGTTCAATGGACTCCAGATTTATATATGTAACTCCACTGATCATCTTTACCTCACTAGAAGACATCTCAAAATCAGTATGTCCAAAACTTAAATCCTGAGAATCCTTTCAAACTTTCTCACCCACAGCCTCCTCCATTTCAGTTAGTGGCACCCTATCCTCCCAGTGGCTTGGGCCAACTGCTTGACTCTTATTCTCTCATACCTTGAATGAATCCACCATGAAATACTATTGAAATAACTTCAAAATATACCCAGAATCATTTTGCTGTTTTAAAAACTATTTTTTGGTTATTTTCATAAGCCCCTAATCTATGTCATCAATATCACTTACCTTGATAATGAGAATAGCTTCCTAAATAATCTCTCTGATTTTTTATTAACCTTCTTCAGTCTATACAGAAGAAATAGATTGAGTGACTTTGTGGTTTGTATTTCAAAATATAAGTTGTATCATCTTATGCCTCTACTCATGTCCCTGCAAAGGCTTCCCATTCCCAATGGTGTCAAATGCTTCCTAAGGCTTCCTATGGTCTACCCTATCTCTAACTTCTGTGATCACATTTCTTTCTACTAGTCTTGTACCACTAACTCTGCTTGGTCCCACTGTGCTCTTGTCATTCCTTGAACTGACAGACACGCTCCCCCATAGAATCTTGTCTTAGCTATTGTCGTTGTTTGGAAAGCTCTTTAGACATCTGCATGGCTAACTCCATCACATACTTAATATATGCTTTACTTTAATGTGATCTTCTTGCTGAGACTTACCCCAAATACCCCATTTAAAATTGTAGTTTGCACCCTGGATACCTACTGTGCATGTCAAATCACCTCTACCCTGTTCTTTTTCAGTATTTTTTAGTACTTATTCTCTTCCAATTTAGTACATAGCACACTTACTCTGTGTATTGCTCATTGTTTCTCCATACATACAAACTGATATGTAATCTATATGAGGACAGGGATCTTTTCTCTTGTATGTGTCACAATGATTTCAGACAGTTTCTGCAATAGGAGACACTAAATAAGCATTTCCTACTTAGAACTTTCATATATACCCTTTCTTTTAGCTTAGGGAGAATATTAGGCATTGTGGGAAGGGTAGCAGGAAGCAATGTAAGGGAATTAAGTCAGTTAAATGGTTCCGTTTTCCATAGCCATTGTAGTGTTACCTAACGAAACATTTAAGGACAAACACTTCAATTTCATGCTTCTGTAACTGGAGTAGGTATGATATCAAAGACTATGGCATGATTTTCAAGAGGAACTCAGCCCACAGAATAAACCTGGTTAATCTCTTGAATTAAATTCATGTAAAATCTCGAATAAAAACATGCTTTATTCCAAAGTAAATATAAACTTGTTGATCGTAGAATAGAAAAATTAGACAAAATTGAAGATTTCAAAAAACAAAGACATTTTACTCTTTAATCTTTACAATCAGACCCTAGTGACATTTAGTTGTCTTTTCTGCCATTAAAGGTATTAGAGACTGAGAACACTCTTTATGTAAGAAAATCTCTTAATTTTGGTATTTTGACTCCTAGCTTATTTTTTGTAAAGAAGAATTATATACTTTATTATTTATTTATATTGTGTCTAGGTTTTCAGGTCCCAGTTAGTGTTTGGTAGACATAAATTATGCTGGAATGCCTGCTACTGTTAACATATGTCTGCTAATGTTAGCATAATCTCTTTTTTTTGAAAATTCAACATTGTGAAAACTAAACATTGGACTAAATAGACTTTGATATGTTACACCTTACTGACCACAAATAAATGGTTTATTGTTGAGCTGAAATGTCTCATATTTTCTTTAATTATAAATAGTTTGAGCAAAAGAACAATGGTACTTACTATTACATGCATGATAATTGGATGTATCAAAATTAACATAAATTCAGGTCTTAAAAGCCATCATTGCTCACTACATAAGCATCAATATTTAATCTTAGCAACATTAAAATAGCTTCCTATGTATGAGTAGACAGAAGTGGAAAGTAATATTCAAGCCATGAAATTACCAAAAACTAAATAAAAACAAAGCAATGGGTTGCTGATACTGGCCTTCATATTATTTTACTTTTAACTCACTCCAATCATGTAACATATATATAATCCACAAAACTGCTGCTTGCCTCTTAGAAACAGATCCTGTTTGAGGGACTACACAGGATTAAGGGTTTAGTTCGGTTGGTTTCACATGTGCCAACTGAGTGTCATAATAATTTTGTACTTTATAGCTTGATGAGCCAAACTGCTCTGACAATTCTTTGCATCTTCAGTCACCAGAGGATTAGACGTAGGCTGTTATCCAAATCTCATTTAGAAAATATGTATCTCTTCTAAAATAACTCAGCCAAACTTGTTGCACAGCTTTCTTCATCCTGATAAGTAAGAGCAGAATTACATGTGATCTCTGCTCCTCGGGAGTTCACCTTCCAAAACAGAAAAACACAATTAGGCCAATTAAGTAATCACATTTTACAGGACTAGGAAAATCACTTCATATGGAATCCTTATTGGCACTACCGGAGTTGCTTTATATTCTTACAGGAAAAATATTTTTGAAAAGGAAAAAGGAATAATCATGTCTTACTTCTGCTTACTGAAAGAATGTAACAGGGATTTAGCAGGTTTTCATTGATGAATGGTTTCCAGTTTGTATATATGGACCCCTGAAATATTGTTCATAAAATGTATATGCAGACCATGTGTGTTCCATAATACTAATAATGCATCCCAAACATATGATCTTTTGTCATTTTGTGTTTTCTAGTCAGCAAAAGATGGAATACATGCTTGCTCTGAACGTTTTGAAGGTCTAACAGTAGAACAAAAACTCAAAAACTTGAAAGGAAACCGCTATGGGTCCCTGAAAGAGCAGACACTATCCATTTGGTTCAACTTGGAGATACAGACCTTTTGCTGACAAGCGTTTTTTTGTTTGTTTGTTTGTTTGTTTTGTTTTGTTTTTGAGACAGACTCACTCTGTCACCTAGGCTGGATGGAGTGCAGTGGTGTGATCTTGGCTCACTGCAATCTCCACCTCCCAGGTTCAAGTGATCCTCCTGCCTCAGCCTCCTGCAGGTGCATGCCAACATGCCTGGCTAATTTTTGTATTTTTAGTAGAGATGGGGTTTCACCATGTTTTCCAGGCTGGTCTCAAACTCCTGACTTCAAAAGATCCACCCACCGTGGCCTCCCAAAGTAGTGGGATTACAGCCATGGGCCAACGTGCCCAGCCACTGACTCGCTTTTTCTAATATGCAGTGTCCATACATGATACAGTTTAAGAATGTTGAAAATTCACCATTCGTAACTTCAAAGATGTAATTATTTTTCAATAGCTTGCCAAAGAACAGAGCTGAGAAGAGTATCTTAGACATAGATTGAGGCAAATGAGAAGATATGGAGTCAAGAAAAATAGAGATAAAATTATCATTATTATTTAAAGAAGATATTGAGTTGAAAAAAATGGCAGACCAAGACAATGTGTAAATAGGACAGGTTACCAGAGACTACATTCTAAAGGTGAGAATACAGAGGCAGAGTTGACATCGAAAAGTCAGTGTTATTCTTATACTGCTCAATCATTTTGACTCCATCACTTCATAACAAAATAAGATCAACTAATGATCATGCCATTTGCTCACTTGAAACCACAATATATTTAGAATTTATAACTCATTAAAAATAAGTCAGAAAGTCAATTTCCAAGACCTCAGTGCTATAGATAACATCTGCTAAGATTGAACTGCATGTGTGGTTCACCTATATTTACAATAATTTTCTTCTACTTTACACAAAAGACATGTATTTTACCTATCACAAATCTTATAACGGTGACTTGCCCATAATAAGAGGCTGTAAAAATCCTGTTGGTTGACAATTGGAGGGAGAGTTTTGTTGCAGACACTAGAGAGTTCATCAAATATTCCATCTATTTTCCCACATTTCTCCACTCTACCCACCCCCTATTAAGTGAAACAACAAAAATAGTTCTGAGTAATGGGCTGTGGGAAGAAGTGTTAGGTATCACTTCCATTCCAAAACATAGATGAAATAGAATGCCACTCTTCAACTGTTTTTTCTCTTGCTATAGCACCGATACCATTGGCATTCTAAATGCTGGGATCATCATCAAACAGGGTCTCTTCATCAAACAGTGACCATGGGACTGTAGAGTGGAACATCCCCTAAGACACACACACACACATGTGTGTACACCAGCCTTTATCTGGCATATATGAAGAGCAATAAAAAACTGTTGTGTTAAGCCACTGAGATCTGCAGTTGTTGTTGAAGTATAGTCTTGTTACTGTGTATACTTTCCAAGACCATATTAGTGTTATACTAGAAGAGTACTATGTGTTAATTGTTTCAAAGCAACAACTCAAGAGATGTTTTTTTCCAGATACATTTTACAGCTGAACATTAACTAGGTTAGGGCTGTTTGAGAATAAAGAGATAACTGATAATATAAGTGAATAATATGACATTATTATTTTCCTTATTTTGCTATCAAATGGGTTTCATCAGAAGTGATTTTTGAAGCTGGAGACATCATGCTACCCAACTTCAAATTACATTATCAGGCTACAGTAACTAAAACAGCATGGTACTAGTACAATAACAGACACATTGAAAAATGGAACAGAATAGGTAACCCAGAAATAAAACCACACTCCTATAACCATCGAATCTTCAACAAAACAATAAAAAACAAGCAATAAGGACTCCGTAATCAGTAAACGGAGGTAAGATAACTGGCTAGGCACATGCAGAAGAATGAAACTGAACCCCTACCTTTCATTATATAAAAAATTAACTCAAGATGAATTAAAAATTTAAATGTAAGATCTAAAACTATAAAACTCCTAGAAGAAAACTTAGTAAATAGCCTTCTCAACATCAGCTGTGGCAAAGAATTTTTGACTAAGTCCCAAAAAGCAATTGAAAAAAGAATAAAATTGACAAATAGGGCCTAAATAAACTAAAGATTTTGTGCACAGCAAAAGAAACTATCAACAAAGTAAACAGACAACCTACAGAATGGGAGAAGACATTTGCAAACTGTGCATCTCACAAAGGTCTAATATCCTGAATTTAAGAGGAACTTAAACAAATCAAGCAAAATCAAATAACCCATTAAAAATGGGCAAGGGAGATGAACAGTCACTTCTCAAAAGAAGACATACAAGTGGGCAAAAAAAAAACATATAAAAATGCTTAGCATCATTAATCATCAGGTCAATACAAGTCAAAACCACAATGAGATACCATCTTACACTAGTCAGAATGGTGATAGCCTTTAAAAAGTGGAAGAATAACAATTGCTTGCCAGGCTTCAGAGAAATGGGAACTCTTACATTGTTGGTGGGAAGGTAAAGCAGTCCCACCACTGTGGAAATCGGTTCAGAGATTTGTCAAAGAATTTAAAACAGAGCTACCATTTGACTCAGCAGTCTCATTATTGGGTGTACACTCAAAGGAAAATAAATCATTCTGCCAAAAGATACGTGCACACATATATTCAGTGCAGTGCTATTCACAATAGCAAAGACACGGAATCAACTTAGATGCTATCAACAGTGGATTGGATAAAGAAAATGTAGTACATGTACAGCATGGGATACTACATAGCCATAAAAAGAACAAAATCACATCCTTTGCAGAAACATGCATACAGCTGGAGGCCTAAATTATCCTAAGCAAATTAATGCAGGAACAGAAAACCAAATACCACATGTTCTCATAAGTGGGAGCTAAGTATACATGGACATAAAGATGGGAATAATAGACACTGGGGACTACTAAAATGGGGAGGGAGAAAGGAGGGGCCGATAGGGATCTCTGCTCACTACCTGGATGACAGATTCATTCACACTCCAAACCTCAGCATCACACAATATACCCATGCAACAAACCTGCATATGTACCCACTGATTCTAAAATAAAAGTTGAAATTACTTTTTCAAAAAGAAGTAATTTTTGATTAAGTTACAGAACGGTATACATGTCCATGGATGATGGTGCTTGAAAAGCATCATGGATAGAGGAAGAAATTTAAATCTATATCAAGAAAAAGAAAACAAAAACATTTGCCATAATAATACCTCCATTCCAAGTGTGAAGTTCTATTCATTTTGCCCTAATGTGGAAATTACATTTAGAGCAGCAAGTCCAATTGAAACCGTGTCTAATTAAGTTGATTACCACCTACTATCATTTCTAAGATGCCTAACATCTTTTAGTAATGACTTAATTAGTAGCTCAGAGTGTCTTCTTATTATAAATACTGTCATTATCCTGAATCATTTTTAAACCTTCTATCCCATCAACATCCTCAACTTCAGTGACCAATACATTCACTCTGTTTCAGCCACATGTAAATTGGCATCACCCAGAAATGTTCAATTCAAATATCTATCATTGTTGACACTATATCTTATCATTCTTGTTATTTATATGAATATATTATTTAATTTTTAGTTTTTTCTAATTGACAAAAATTGCATATGTCTACCATGTAGAACATGATGTTTGGAAAATGTGTATATTGTGGAATGGCTAAATTGAGCTAATTAACATTTGTATTACTTCACATACTTAATCATGTTTTTGTGGTGAGAAAACTTAAAATCTGTTAGCAATTTTTATTTATTTATTTTATTATACTTTAAGTTTTAGGGTACATGTGCACAACGTGCAGGTTGGTTACATATGTATACATGTGCCACGTTGCTGTGCTGCACCCATTAACTCGTCATTTACATTAGGTATATCTCCTAATACTGTCCCTCCCCCCTCCCCCCACCCCATGACAGGCCCCAGTGTGTGATGTTCCCCTTCCTGTGTCCAAGTGTTCTCATTGTTCAATTCCCACCTATGAGTGCGAACATGTGGTGTTTGATTTTTTTGTCCTTGCGATAGTTTGCTGAGAATGATGGTTTCCAGCTTCATCCATGTCCCTACAAAGGACATGAACTCATCATTCTTTATGGCTGCATAGTATTCCATGGTGTATATGTGCCACATTTTCTTAATCCAGTCTACCATTGATGGACATTTGGGTTGGTTCCAAATATTTGATATTGTGAACAGTGCCGCAATAAACATACATGTGCATGTGTCTTTATAGCAGCATGATTTATAATCCTTTGGGTATATACCCAGTAATGGGATGGCTGGGTCAAATGGTATTTCTAGTTCTAGATCCTTGAGGAATCGCCACACTGACTTCCACAATGGTTGAACTAGTTTACAGTCCCACCAACAGGGTAAAGTAGTTCCTATTTCTCCACATCCTCTCCAGCACCTGTTGTTTCCTGATTTTTTTAATGATCGCCATTCTTACTGGTGTGAGATGGTATCTCACTGTGGTTTTGATTTGCGTTTCTCTGATGGCCAGTGATGATGAGCATTTTTTCATCTGTCTGTTGGCTGCATAAATGTCTTCTTTTGAGAAGTGTCTGTTCATATCCTTCACCCACTTGTTGATGGGGTTGTTTTTTTCCTTGTAAATTTGTTTGAGTTCTTTGTAGATTCTGGATATTAGCCCTTTGTCAGATAAGTAGATTGCAAAAATTTTCTCCCATTCTTTAGGTTGCCTGTTCACTCTGATGGTAGTTTCTTTTGCTGTGCAGAAGCTTATTAATTATAGTCCCTATGTTGTACAATAGAGCTCTTAAACTTGTTCCTCTTATCTAACTGAAATTTTGTATCCTTTAACCAATGAAGTATATATGTATACTTTGATATGATTGACTATCCAATCTCTACACTACCCTACCTACTTTCTCGTTACATGTAAGTCCCACTTTACTTGACACTTTTCGACTTGTCTACTTAGAGTGTCAAAAAATATAACTGCAGCCAGTTTTTCCTCCAATATCCTGACCTCCTTTGCCCCAGGAAACAAAACATAACAAACTCACACATCGAATAACATCGTCTGACTCAACTCCTCCTATGTCTGGGTTATGAGGCATTATTAAAGAAAATAATAAAATACACAGGTAGAGTTGTCTTTCTACATTTCATGGTCTGCAAATGTGTTTGGGTGTTTAATACAACCTAGAAATTCTTTGATGAGTGCCAAGTAATTTCTTTCTCCAATTCCACTAGTGATTATTTTTAAATGTCTAAGTTCTCGTCAAAATTTTGAAAACAAAATCATGACTTATCTGAACAGATGATTTTCACTCTCATTCTTAGAGAAGTAATTTAATTTAAACACCTTCAAATTTATTTTCCACCATAGATAATAAATTGTTTCAAAATCACAAGGGCATCTGAACTCTTGTTGAGAGGCATTGCATTAAGAAGAGCTACTATAACTCTAATGCCTGATTTAAACAGGTGGATGAGGAGTTTTCCCTTTGTATGTCACTAGCAACATAAAACAAATTAAGTATAATTTTTATGCATAAATATTTTTCTATAAGAATTTACAAAGGGTACATATATTATTTATTAGACTATATACAATATTTGGGATGATGATGGTAGTGATCTATTTCTCATTGTGTCTGGCTAAGTACGCCCACAATTTTTTGCAAAAGACAGAGAAACATGGAGTGACTAATGAGTGTAAGGCTTCAGAACTATAAAAAAATATATATATATTGTTTCCCAGGACACCAGCTAAGTATAGTGTCTTCCCTGGGGAGGTAATGTGGCGTTTGTAGGTGGACAGATTTGAGTTGGATTCCTAGTTCTACTTGAATACCTTTGGAGTAGTTTATGTTATTTCCATGAATTTCAATATAATCACCTTTTTCTTTTTTTTTGACTGAATCTTGCTCTGTCTGTGGCCCAGGCTGGAATGCAATGGCGCAATGGATCTTGGCTCACTTGCAAGCTCTGCCTCCCAGGTTCCAGCGATTCTTCTGCCTCAGCCTCCCTAGAAGCTGGGATTACAGGCACCCGCCACCTCACCCTGCTACTTTTTATATTTTTAGTAGAGATGGTGTTTCACCATGTTGGCCAGGCTGGTCTTGAACTCCTAACCTCACGTGATCTGCCCACCTCTGGTGTAATTACTTTTTAAAAAAGAACTAATGACACCTTCCTCATGAGATAGTTGTACAGATTAAACAAATGTACATGCACAAAGCTCCTTCTACACAGTTTGTGCTCAGTACAAGAGAGTTTCATTTTTTTTTTTTAACTTCAGGTGAAGGTTAAAGTTCAAAGCCAAAGATAAATAATTAGGACATGTTATCTTGGACCAAGATCTTAATTGCAGATCTGATGGTCTAAGAGGTATGCTTTCAAGAATATTAAGGCAAGTACTACAAACTCCTTACTAGCACTTCCATATTTTATCAGCTGGGTGAGAACAAAACTTCCACAGTTAAAGGTCCAATCTTTAACCCTAAGACAGTATGTGATACTAGTTAAAATCAGATGGACAACTGTGCAAAATCAGATGTATAAATGTGACAGCATTTATTTTGTGCATGTTCAGATTGAAGAAATAATGTTTATTATAGAAAATTTATAAACTGTGGCAAAACATCAAAATAGATATTTAAATCCACACATGAGCCCTCCACACAATAATAATCATAGCTAACACTTGCTTTACATTCTCTTTTAAAACTGGAATTTAAAAAATATATTTCGTGATTATTCTTCTAAAGACTAGTCACATCTGCATCATATTCCACCACTGCAGTGTATCACAATTTACCAAAATACTATGTTGCACGATTCAGGTTTTTTTTTTTTTTAATTATTGCTTGTGAAATTCAACAAGAGCTAACTTTTGCTGATCTTTGACAACTTATCCAGCACAAAATTATTGGGTTGAAAGATAAGATATTTTTACACTTGTGTTGTGCATTGCCAAATTGCAGCATCTTGACATATTGAAAATACTGGATACAAAGATTTTATTCAAGAAAATGAGGAAAAACAAGAGAACAGAGACCCTAAAGCTTTTAAAGAGTGGGTTGAAATGCAATGGGCCATGGGAGAAACTGGGAGAACTCCCGAGGAAATACTCCTATCTGCTTAGAGTCAGCTCATTTGGTTCAAGAACTAAATCACAAACCAGGTCACTAAGAAGCAGTTGTACTTAACATGTTGTTGTTGTTGTTAATTAGTTATCTTGTGTTGAAAATCTTTTCCTCCATTTCTTCTATACACACATCCTCCTCCTAATACTCTTTTTATGTAATAAAAATAAAATATGCTAAATAGATGGCACTAATGATCTGTCCGATAAAAGCTGTGGATTCATAGAGCATATACAACATGTAATAAAATAACCTTTGCACTGATTTTAAAATTAAGGAGGCTGGAATGTCTTAACTTGTCCTCATTCAATGATCCAGGAGTTTGTGGATCTTCAAATATTACTATCTTTGGGAAACATGCCCTTATTTTCTGGTAAATGATGGACACTCCTTCCTCTGTACATAGAGAGCAAGGCTTTTACTCCATGATTGTTATTCATACCATGTATTATGTTTTTCCTGATTTGTGTCTACCTCATATTTATTTTAATTGATAGTGAACAATTATTGAGAACACAGTCCAGATATTGTGATTCTTCCATGCATAAACTTTTTGTTGTCGTTACAGCCTCTAGTTCAGTGCTCAGTACATACATTTTTAAAAATGTAACAATTGCTTGAATCAATAGATAAAGGAATAATGCAATAATACATGAGCTATGATTTTCAAATGCAGAGTGTTATTTAAGTAAAGAAGCAGGCTAAGGAATGTGGAGCCATTGCATCAATTGTTCTGAAATACAGCTACCTTTAGCTCAGAGTGTCTCTTTTACAAGAGTGTCTGACCATGAGGTGGGTCCTAGTCTGCTCTACAAATAGTATCCTTTATTATACGTGCCTTAATGTGAAGAGATTGGAATGCATAACTGAATTTGGAGAATTTCAAGCATATGATTACATCATTAAATTTGAAGAATTTTGTATGTTAACTTTAACTAAAGGTCTGAGTTTGAAGGACTTATTAAATATCATTTTCCAGTAAGTACTGAGTGTGTGTATGATCTTACACATGAATCTCACGAAACAAAGTCTGTACCCAGCCTGTCTATTTCAAGGGGATGTCATTCTCTGCCTTGACAGGAAGTCTCTATATCTGAAGGGGTTATGTCTAATGGAATTGCCAGCACACAGGTAAAATTGTGTTACTATAGGTAAGTGTTGCCTTGGCTGTATGCAAGTTACCAATATTGATGGTATTTAGTGGAACATGATGGCTTTTCCAACTATATAAACCTGTGTCGTTATTTTTGCATGGAACTGTTGTCTTGCAAAGTCGTGAAGTAAGGAAGAATATAGCAGATGTTTTATATTTTGCATATAACCACAAGTCTGGTAACACTATGGGCATAAAATTAAGAAACAAATGTTCTAATCACTTTTTTAAAATTTTGCTCTTAGATTATTTCTCTAACCTAACTGAAACTTAGTAGACTCATCCAGAAGATTAAAGTTGGTCTGAGGATTCTTTCTTTCATTTTTAAAATGCTCTCCTTATGTATAGAAATAGCAGACTGTCCAGCACTCTACTGAACTCTAATAAACAAAACTTATATTACCTATGAGAAAGCTGGAACTTTCCAGAATATATGATGAAGTAGCCATTTCTTTTAAGTGATAGTTATTTTCTGATGAAAACCAGAATACTAGTTTATTGAAATAACTTCAGAAACACAACAAACTACTTTAATTAGGAAATAATCTGTCTCAATGTGTCCCATTTGAACTATTATTCTCTATTTAATTTCATCTGGGTCTTATCTATCCAGATTTCCTGTAGCTGATTATAAGTGTATGCCTACAGCTGGTTGTTCTCATATCAGCACTTTATATTTAAAACAACCAAACAAAGCAGAGAGTCCAGGCAAGAGCCCAGATTCTTCTACCCTTCCTACATGAGCTGCAAACATGTATTCAACAATAAGACTGTGGCCGGATACATTTAGTTTCATCGGAATACAGATTTAAAGCTTTTGATAAGTAATACGGTCAGGCACAACAGAAGTCTCCATTTCTCCGTATCCTTCCCATTCCTTTCATTACCCGATGTGCTTCACTCGTCTTTATTATGTGTCTGGTTTCTGAAGTTATTTAATATTGGGAACTCTGATTTGGCAATTGCATGTGTTTTTTTACTGTTGAATTAGTTTTACTCTATTTATTGTGTAGATTTTAATGATCTTGGCAGCAACTTTCTGACACTTGATAGGTAATAAAATTCTGAAACTTAATATAGGAAACCCTACCACTACCTGCTCATAGTGTTGCATAACAAAGTGAGGGGTGTGGTGCCACTAAACACATGCAGAGTTCTATATTTTAAAAATAACCTGCTAGCAGAGAGAAAATATGAAACCATTTTCTGCCTTCTACATATAAAAATTTTAAAATATAAAACCTAAAATCTTCTATAGCCTGGCTGGGATTTCCAACTATGAATAGCAATCACCACACAAAGCATTGATGTAATAAAGGAAAAATAACCACCCTTATTTGGTAAAACTTTAAATGTTAACAGTGCGATTTACAATTCATTTACTTCCATCTTCTTATCACAGTCAAGCATATGAGGACAGAAAAACCTAAAACAGATGGGTAGTTCAATGAATTTCTTAATCTTTTCTAGCTCTTTATCCTCAAAGGAATTTTAAATTCACTATTGTAATGCATATGTCTTGAATCAGGAAAACTGGTAGGGAAACATAGGCAAGTTATTTTCTTTAATTGAAGAGATAATCTGTGTATTTTCATATTTCCAGCGTATCTTTAAAAAACACAGCATTAACATTTAGAGCACTTAGAAAGTAATACAATAATCTGGATTTTCTCGAGTTAGTGGCCTTTCCTCCCAAGGTATTTACAGGGGATTGCCATCTACCAAGTGTGGCTGAATCCCCGGGCAGTCAGACTTCCGAATGCTCGAACGAATAGCTCAAGAGAGCCACCTACTGCTTATATGGATATCCAGTATGGAGAAAAAAAATGTGTCTTCAGTATCAAATTACATCAATGTAATGTTTTTGTCAAATGAAAACAAAAATACTGCTGTGGCTGTGTTAAGAAACAATAGTCAATATATCACATTTTTTTTCATTCATTTATCTATTGATGGACCCTAGGTTGCTTCCAAATCATAGCTATTGTGAATAGTGCTGCAATAAACATGGAATAAAAAAGGAACACTAAATTAGGCTTTAAACTCTTTGAGCTATCCTTGCCACTTCGTACTTTTTGAGGGACTTACCAAAAGCACAGATTACCAAGTAAAAAATGTATGAAATGGTCTCAAGTTCCAGATTTATGTGTTAGACTCTTTATCTCCTTTTCATACTATCATAGAGCATTTTCTGTTGCTCTCATTCTAAGAAGAAAATACAAGACTGAAGGTAGAAGTGTGTATCCCAGAACAAAATGTTTAAAAGACTGGCCAGTTAGCCAGACATGTTGCTGGGATTGCTCCTGTAATCCCAGCACTTTGGGGAGCTGAGTTGGGAGGATAGCTTGAGCCCAAGAGGTAGAGGCTACAGGGATTGGCCGGCATATTGGCAGTGACAGGATAAACTTGGAATAAAGACCAGTGCTGGGATTATTAATTTTATCCCTGCTACTAATAGCTCCTATTTATAGAGTTCTAGATTACAAAACCATGATCAGATGTAATTTTAATAACTACTTCCTTTTTTGTACTTGAAGAATTTGATGCCCACAAAGAAGGTGAAATAATGTATTCAAGGTCATACTATTATCTAGGTCCAGAACATGCTGGAACACAGGGATCCCCGAAGTTTTTATCTAACACGACATCACTATGCCCGCCAGATTCTTCTCAATTACATATCCATTCAGCAGATTTGACCTGTAGCATTACAGGTGAAGTAAGGTTGAGAAATTGATTCAAGTGAGTAATATGTAGCCCTGCACAAAGGGAGTTCCAAGTACCATGGGGTGAAAAACACCCAGATGTGAGTCACACAAAGCAGAATTCAAAGTCCAGATTTCTTTCCTTAACTGACTCAGTCACTTGCTATGATATTTTCATCAAGGGACTTAAATTCTGTGAACATGAGTTTCCCAAAAAGTAAAATTAAAAAAAAATCTATCCTACAGAATTATTTTAAGGATAATACAAATACAGGTTAAATGCTTTGCTCAAGTGGATAGTACATGTGAATTTGGGCTCATATTATTAGTAAATAGATTACCATAACATCAGGTAAAAGAAATGAGAAGCACTAAAAAATGTACTCAATGCTACAGATACTTGATATACAAATATGAATATTATAGAAGTATTTATACTGTGTATGTTCCCCTGCTTAAAAATATAGACTTTCAGACTCAGAAGACATTAAAATTAAATCTAGACACCTTTTGCTGCCATCTCACCATTACTACTCTGAGGCTTAAGTTCTTTTACTCATGACTTACATTTTTTAGAGCCCTAATAATACTTTTCAATAATAACTTCATTTATTTATCCCACAGATGAAGCAATGAGCAAATTGTGAAATAAATCATCTTTACCTGCAGGGAGTACATTCCAAGTTACTACACAACTTCCACTCTATCAATTAATATACATCACCTCCATTTGCTTGAACACCTTGAAAAATAACACCATGAATACAAGGATCTATCTTGTGTGCACTGGAAATGCTAATAACATCAATGTTTTCACTCTTATATGCATCCAATATAATTATCCAATACAATATTTATAACTTCAAATTTTCCATTTTGAGGAAGCATGTATGAGATTAAGATTTTTCTACATCAATTTCTCTTCAAGAACAAACTAATATAGAGAAAAATATATAACAATACATGGGAAACTTTTTGTTCCAGTGTCTTTGAGATTTTATTTTGTTTTGTAAATCATCCACTCATAGTTTGTGGAAGATTTAACACTTGATGTAGTGATGTTCTTTATCTCTTGATTGATTTTCTTGCTTTAATATGTTTCTAGCAATATTTTAATAACTATAGAATCACCTTCTTTTAAAGTTTTATTTCTTGTTGAAAATTATTCCTGATAACAAACTTTACATTTGAGGGATCACCATTAGGTTGTAGAAGAACTATTATGAAATTAGGAAACTATTATTGGAAAATTATAATTAGGAAATTATAACTATAAAGTTAGTAACAAATCCTAAGGAGCAGATGTACTTAATATATGACTTTATGTTAAGTTAAAAATTAATTTGTAATTAAAATGAAATTGGATGAGGAGGAGTATTTAGAAATCATGACTTACATTAATGAAACATTCTGGATTGCATTTGTATTACTCTCAGAATGTGTTGAGTGTATTAAATAACATTATACTCAATATTACAAATGATGTTTGGGAAAGAAGACATATGGAGAGAAGGCCGATGACTTTCCTACCATTCATTAGGTGTTTGTTATTAGCCATTACTTATTAGCTATTACACACACACGCGCACACACACACACACACACACACTTCAGTTCAAAAGTAGAGGTGGTAGTGCTGGTAGGGGTGGTGGGTGTGTTGTTAGCTCAATTCTGCCTCCTCAAATCAGATGAAAAAAATTGGACGTGGTTACAAAATAATTTTGTAGAAGTGTAATTCCATCTAAAGAGGAAAGTGTGGCATTAAAGTAATCTGAACTCATAGTAATTCATACAGTCAATGATAAGTGCCTAGTACAATTTTCTGTGGTGCAAATGAAATCACTTGGACCCATGTGGTTCTCAGATTCTTCTTTTACCTTAAATCACTAATAGAAAATTGATCATATAGTGGTTATAATATATAGCCATCAATCTAGCATTTTCAGTCTTCCAAAAATAGCAACTATATTTCACATGCACTGGAGATCTCTTTCTGCTGAGATAGTAAAACCATTCCTGTCATTATTAAGCATCTTCTAAGCTCTGGGAAAATTTAGAAATAAAAATAGACTAGGGTGTCAATCAAAATTATTGGATTAATATTTTTTGAAAAGTCTAGCAAAATACTAGTTCATTTTGGGCTTTTTGTCTTGTGCAAAATAAAATGTCCTCACTTATAAAGTGAAGAACATAGTTGAGCTAGTCCAGGTCAAGTGTTTAATTATGTAGCTCAAATGTCATGTATCCTGTTCACGATAGGAAATGATGAGTTGCATAGTGAATATAATTATCACTGTCTTTCTAACCTTATGAATTTGTGACCATATAACAAAATCATAAATGACAAAATACTTTATTACTTTATACAAGAATGGCACTATGATTTTGTTCTATCGCCTTTCTCAAATTCTTTGTGTGATTAAATACTTCCTAGAGGGTACCATTCACGCAGCACTGATACAGGTTCATGAAAAAGAAAAATAAGACTAAAAGGTCTAGTTCTCCACACACATTTTTTTTAGTGGTGTTACTTCTCTCGTAACATTCAAGAAACTTATACATTTATTCCTTTCTAAAAATCTAAAAATCTTACAATAAGAAGTTATCATCAGCTCAAGCACTCAGGCAATATTGTGAGAGAAAATAAATGTGCATATATATATATACTTATGTGGAATACAGTATACTTATACTGTGTGTGTGTGTATATATATATACACACACACGTACATACACTTATGCTGTATATATTTATACAGTAATCCAAGTATAGAATTGCGAGTATATATATGTTTAAAATATATAGGCATATATGTGCATTTATAATATGTGAATATACACTTTCATACCACTATCTCTTAAGCTACCAATCATGTTTTATACTTGGTTTGCTGTGTGTATATATATAATTTAAATTGCAGATTACACCATATAATGAGATAATTGTAGGTACTTTATTCCTAGCTTGATTTAAAAATGTAGCTTCTTAAATATTGATGACAAAATGTACTACGAATTTTATTTTAATTGTTTCTTTTTTTTTCAGTCAAAGTGATCTTTCCAACTGAAATATTCTAATTGGAAAATCTGGAATCTTACTGTAGTGTTTTGAAAGGAGAGGCTTAAAATTGAAAGAGATATGCATTTATAATATATGAATATACACTTTCATGCTACTGTCTCGTAAACTATCAATGATGTTTTATTCATGAGGCATAGAGGAAAAATGCAGTAAGGCAAATGAAAGAAAGAGAGAAAGAAAAAGAAACAAAGAACAACAGAAAGAAAGAAAAAGAAAGAAAGAAAAGAAAGGAAGGAAGGAAGGAAACAAAACTCTGTAAGAAGTTACAAGAAAGTAAATATTAACTGGCTATGCATCCATCATAAAGAAGTCCACAAATGCATTGAAACCTCCTCAGAAGGAGAATAAAAAGATAAATAAAAGAATAAAAGACTAGCAGACTGAAAGCAGGCAACAGGTAACACCTTTGCAAAAATAGCATATATGATGGTCACAAACAAGCAATATATTTATTTTAAAATTTTAATTTAAATTTTGAATAGGTAAGGCATTTTTATGATTCAAAATGAAAACTATGTAGAAGACATATACAAAAGCCTTTCTTTCTTTCTCTCTCTTTCTTTCTTTCTTCTTTTTTTCTTCCTTTCATGTGAAGATACTTGGATTTAGATAGCTGCCAACATTATTATGGTACAAGAACATTAAACTTAAGAATATATTCTTGATTACATAACTACCCTTGAACACAGTGTCTGACATATAGTTTTTGCTTAATAAATGTTAAACTGTTATCTTAATCTAAATAATTTTGTAATTGTCGTTACCTCTATTAAAAAGGAAAAGAAAGGAAAAAAAACTATCATTGACTCTTCTTACTTAAAAAAAAGAAGCCCAGTTTTTGCTATTATATTTTAGGACCCACAGAATATCATCCAAATTGTCTATACAATCTTATACTCATGTTCTCTTCACAAATCTACTGCACTTAAAATGGTCAATCTATTTTGCTTTGAATGTGAGATATTTTTTGCTACCTCTTAATTTCTTCTCAAAACCCCACCTTTTCTAGAAAAGTCTTTCTCCAGTATTTGTATAAGTTCTACCATTTTGTTATGTTCATATTAGGTTTCAGTTAATCTTGAAGTTGTCTCCAACTTTCACATCCTTTAGTACTTTTTCCATTTCATAATTTTAGCAGAACTTAATGCTTAGGTTTCCCATATGAAACTTAGTCTATATTGACAGTATTTTCTAATTCTCATAGATCCTACGCTGCCAAACCAAAGCATCAATGAACACATTGTGACAGCTCTCAACACATTAATGACTACCCAGAACTAAATAACATTCTTTAAAGGCACCTCATTTTTGCATCATTTTCGAAGTCAGTATAGTCTGGAAGATAATTAGTGACAATTTGAGTACTCTTCTATTCCAATTTACAGCTATTTGAATTTAACATAAGGAAGAAAATATTTTCAATATGGATTTGGATTCAAATTATGAATTTTGCCATGTTAGTATCTTTGTAGAAATTTTTTAAGAGGGTGGATTATCTAATTTAAATATTCTATATATTCATAACCAAGAAAATTCATTTTCAAACACATTCATAATG
Organism: Homo sapiens; assembly: GCF_000001405.40. Taxonomy (NCBI): domain Eukaryota; kingdom Metazoa; phylum Chordata; class Mammalia; order Primates; family Hominidae; genus Homo; species Homo sapiens. Next base: position 48,771,115 of record NC_000006.12, read on the forward strand.
ATAGATTTTATTCAGTATTTTGACACTCATGCATTTAAAATTCCTTAGAGACTGAATACTCATACCATGTCAGGCAAATGCTAAGAAAATACCACTTATCTAAAAAAAATACACAATGAAAAACACAAAAATTATGGGATTTAGCAGAAATGTTAGAAAGACATTACAATAGCTTTATTTTTGTTGCAGGGGCTTTTAGCTCTTAAAGAACCAGAAATGTGAAGACACAGAGCCAAAAAATTCAGAAATAGAATAAGCATTCTATATAATTCTTGTTATTTAAACTGAACATGCCCTTAACTTGCCATTACAAAACAGTAAGTATAATTTTAATTGTATTGAACTTTTCCACACCCCTAAATTTTAGAAAAACATATTATCCAATCTGATTCTGATGAAGGCAAAATCTCATTGGAGATAAAAAATACTATTCATCCTTGTTTTGTCATTAACAATGCTTCAGGGGTAATGGATTGAGTTTATATTAAGGAATGGATTCTTCCTATTATGGACCTCTTCATCAGCCAAGTATGGTGAGAACAAAGGAATTATCTGCTACTTTAAGAATTTCATTAAGCCAACGTTTGATATGCATATTGTGCCTGAAAGCTGGGATTGCTGTCCTATAAGTGGAGTCCCACTGAGTCCAATGGGGCTTCGAGATCCTATATGTCATACCAACAGGAAAAATTCCATGACTCTTTATTGGAAATATGGTGTCTTATATGGTAATTATTCCCATATACTAAATTTAATGTGCTATCAAATAAAATTTTATTTTCTTCATTACTGACCAGAGTGTAGCCACCTTGCTTCTATGATGTACCCTTACAGGTGGTATAGTAAATGGTGGATATGCCCTTTTATACAGTTTTATACCTCCCAGAAGCAATTAATTTTCGTTGATACAATAACATTTAATATAGTATCAGTTTCTGCTCCAGATTAATATTTATTTTTTTAAATTATTATTATTATTTTTTGAGACAGAGTCTCACTCTGTCACCCAGGCTGGAGTGCAGTGGCATGATCTCAGCTCACGGCAACCTCCTTCTCCCAGGCTCAAGCAATTCTCATGCCTCAGCCTCCCTAGTAGCTGGGATTACAGGTGTGTGCCACCACACCTGGCTAATTTTTTTTTTTTTTTTTAGTAGAGATGGGGCTTCCCCATGTTGGCCAGGCTGGTCTCAAACTCCTGACCTCAGGTGATCCACATGCCTCAGTCTCCCAAAGTGCTGGGATTACAGGCATGAGCCACTGCGCCTGGCCTAGATTAATATTTAATAGCATTTTCACCATTGAGTAATAGACCTGGTTATGAATTTTGGATATCTTACTCAACTATTGTCTGCTATTCAGCCAATTTTCTTGGGTAATTTGAATTTCAGTTTTTATATGAACAAAATGCAGGTAATAACATGTATCTTAGAGGATATTTCAAGTAGTTATATGAAATAATATATGTAAAATGCATAGCACCATGCATAATACATAATAAATACTAGATCAAATCATCTGTTCATTATCTATTCATTCAACAAATGTTTATCAAACACATATAATATTCCAGCACTTCATTAGACATTGGCGATCTAGTCATCAGAAAAGGTTATGCAATCATATCCAACCATCTCAAAACATTAAGGGAACATAAAAAAAAGGATTTATTTTAGCTCATGCTACTTGCGTGACAATATGCATTATTGTTGCCTGGGGCCCCTGGTCCTCACTGAAGTCACTCTGGAAACCAGAGAGTAACCATTCCATATAATGTTATTAATTTTTACAGGGGAAAAGAGAACCAAGAGTAGTGCATTCAGACCCATAACATTCCTATCTGGAAGTCAACCATGTCATTTAAGTTTACCTTTTATTGGCAAAGCAAGTGACAAGGGGACATCAGCTTTCTATCTGAATGAAGAAAAGTAGTCGTCTTACAACTTGTCCAGTAGAAGGAGAATAGGAATACTTTTAAATGGGCCTAACCACTAACCACAAGAATGAACAGAATAGTACAAGATCCTTAACTTCATTAAGTTCCTATTTTGGAGAGGAGAGATGATAAATAAGAGAAAAATATAAATTACATTAAATGATAATAGTATATTTTAAGGAAAAAGTGTATGTTACTTTCATTAAGGAAAAAATAAGTTTTAAACAACCATCCCTCGCATTAGAATAAGTGGAAAACATATAGACAAAATATGTGCATCTGCTAATTGTGAACATGAAAATTGAGCAGCTAAGAAATGAACAAAGATTTTGATAGATTCATGAATTGGGGGATACAATTAGAACTTAGGCCACTCCATGTGGAAAGAGCTCTGGTAAATAGCCAGGCCTTCAATTGAAACATCAAAAAACTACTATCTGGAATTAAAATTTACAGAAATTATATCAGCCCTCACAATCGGTGTTATCTGGTTTTGGATCATTGAGATCACTGGTCCATTTAAATTGTCATGGTGTTGATAAATACATAACTGCCTTCCAGAAGCAAAATTCATCTCTGGAAGAAGACAAATCTTCCAAAGTTTCAGATTATCTCCCCCAATTTTTCTATCTAAGCAGACAAAATAAGCAGATATGTGAAAAATAAGTCATATCTGAACGAAAAAATTTTCAAAAGACAATCTATACAGCCAATAGGTGATATAGACACTTTACCAGAATATGGATTTGAAGCTTTATTTGTTCAAGGAATCAAAATGCAAGGCTGGTAATTTTAGCAGAGACTGGGAACTAAAAATATTCAAAATAGAAATATAAAACACTGAAATTAATAACTCAGTAAATAGATTTAAAAGCAGATTTGCTGTGTGAGAAGACAATTATTGAACTGGAAAGTTAGGCTACAAGAAAAAATAAATACAGGCTGAAGCAGAGAGAGAAAAAGACATGGAAAATATGAACAACAAAAAGGTAAGAGATAGATGTGATGAAGTGGTAGGTTCTAATATAAATTCAACTGAAACCCAGAATGACAGGAGAAATGAAATAGGTGAAACAATATTTGAAAAGATTATAGCTGATAATTTTTCAAAGCCCATTAAAGATTTTGGACCAAAGATTCAGAGGTTCTATGAACACAAAATGAGACTGATGCAAAGGAAAATACACTTACACATTTAGGTACATCACACTAAAAGTGCATAATTAAAAAAAAAAAGTAAGTGAGAGAGATTTTTTAAAATGTAAACCAAAGCAACACATGCCTCTGGTTGAGTCAGAAAACTTTTCTTGCTAGTGAATTATTTTTTTTCTTTAATTCTCTATGTATTTATTCATTCATTTAAAATTCTGAGCTCTAAATGAGGTCTCAGTTTCAAGTTTCAGTCTCATGTGGGTGGGTCTAAGCCTTCCTTCTTTTCAGTATGTCAGCAATAAATTCAACCCCCTTAACTTAATACAGTCTAAAAATTACCCCACAGAAAAGTCACAGATTTATATTCTTCTCTTTTCTCTTCATAACCCTCATGATTTCACTCAACTTCTTATAACGTCAGACATGTATGAAAGGATACTTGTTATATTTTATCTAGTATGGCTGGATATTTTATGAAGGGGGATTTTCCAATTATTTACGTAGACATAGTGCTAGAAACAAAAGTTTTTGTGTTTTTTTACTTTAAAAATTTTTGAAGATTGGTGCACAGGGTATAAAACACTAAATTGCACTTTTGAGACTTTGAAGAAGTAATTTTATTGTCTTCTGCTTTCTATTATTTCTCCAGTGAAGTGAATTGAGTCTGGTATCTTTTCCTTTATCACATCTGATATCTTTTCTTTATAATATTATTTTATATAATTCCTCATTTTTTGCTTCTCTAGAATGAATAGTCTTTATCTTTTTCAATTGTTTCCAACTATTAAGACATCTGCATGATTTTCCTTAAATAGTTTTCAAAATATTTATTTGTATTGTTCTTGTAGAATCAAGAATATAATATGTTGCCTAATAGAGTATATAATTAAGTTAATATGAAGAAAGTGCTTGATTTTTTTTTTCACTGACTATGACTAAGGTCAAAAATAAAATCAGATCAAGTTAGAAAAAATTAAAAGTTTATTGTCATACACAAAGTACAAATTGCAATTGGGAAGACTTTAACCCACGTGATAAGAAGCTCACCTTACAAGAGTTACAGCACAGTTTACAAAGCATAAAGAAGGAAGATTTTGACTTTTATTGCGATTGGCTGTTATACATTAGCCTTTTTTCAAAGATAAGCAGAGCTATTTAAGATGATTTGTCTAGAGTTTAATGTCACTGAGTTATGCTGCAAGAATGTAAAATATGTTTTGGGTTTATGATTAAATATAGCATTTCAGGGAAATCAGTATCTCTTAAATTTTGATCACATGGTTGTGGGCAGTTGACCTTGGAGTATATCTAATCCGTGGACTTCATTTTTATCTTTAATACTAGTTACAGGATAAGTGGAAGAAAATTATACATAAGAGGTATCTTTGAATGTCCTCTACCTTTAAGCTCAGGAGGAATGAATGATTTAGTATGTGCTCAAGTAATTAGTTTATATAATTAGAGAATGAGGAGGATAGGGAAGACAAACTGCCTACACCCTCACTTGCAAAAAGTGTGAATACAAGTACAATGTCCAGGGGAAGATGAACAGAGGCAGTGTTGGTATGTAGTAGTAGTAGGATAGAAGTTTCCTGTGTATGTTGGGCCTCAGTTGTGGAATACAAAATTCTGAGCCAATTCAGTGTTTAAGAATATAAATTTGGAACAGAATTTTTTACTGCCATTTTATAAATATGAAACTGTGAACAAGTTATTTATTCTCTCTGAATTTCAATGTGTCATCTGTAAAATAGAGATATGAATAGTACCTAGCTCATAGTGTTGCTTGAGAATTAAATAAGATAGTATATATAGGTGCTTAGCACAGTGCCAGACTCATGGTAGGTACTTAAATACTGGCTAAGTGTTATTATTGTTATTTTAGGGCAGTGTGTTTTAAGGTAGCTCTCAAGTTTGTCCTGAGATTATGAAAATGAAAATTTTGTACGCTATAATGATCAAGCATAATATTTTTATTATAAAATAATGTAATAGTCCTTGTGCAACTAATCTTATAATCTATTATCTCACTTCTTTTACTGAGACAGTAAAAAGATGGAGACTTTGCATTATACATTTTATTATTTTATTTTCCAAAACCTCTGCATAAATCTAATTTAAACTAATCTAAGCAAATAAGCAAAGGAAAAGTAATTTACATTCTATTTGTAAGTGCAATCTTACCAATGATGTCTATTTTTTAAACCACTACAGTAATAAGCAAGCATATGAAACATTGAAATATATTAGTACATATTTACAGTTTTAAAAAGGTACTTTATAAATGTCTTAAGCCATTTGTACAAAACAGGATGACCAATAGTTAGAGGAAAATCATGAATATCTAGAGACTACTGGGGTGAGTTGGTGTACCTCGCCTTTAATTTATTTTTATAACTGGGTTCTAAACACTTCTGTCATTCCTATTATGTCAATTCAGTGCAACTGGCATGATTATTGTTCAGGCACAGATTAAGGCAATAAAAACATGCTGGGACCAGCCTAATAGCAATATACTAATTGCTTATTCTTTTCAAGTTGCAAGGATGTTCGCTAAAACAGAATTTTTGTTATGTGGTGGCTTAGACCTTTTTCTTAATATATAAAAACAAGAGTTGTTACTGACAGTCAAGAACATGCACCGTTCAAATAATTGTTTAAAGCATTTGCTAATCAAGTACTAATTTATCTCAGCCTATGTTAAAGTGGAGTGACATATGGAAAACAATGATGATAATTTTCCTGAATAACTTAGAATCTGACTGGGGAAACTACACTTGCCTTGAGTAAAACAATGACAAAAATAGTACACCAACCAAAGAACAAATAATATCTCAAATAATCTGTGTATCACAAATGAATGTATTTCCACATGGTCAGCACAAAAGAATTAGAGAATATAATGTACTTGATAGGATTGGTCCCCAAAAATTCATGAAAGTTAAATTATGAACAGGGGAACATTAAATAATTATAAGCCATAAGATAACACTATAGGCCTATTAGAAGGTCTAAATTTTAGATTAGTGGGAGAGGGGAGCAAGATGATGAAATAGAATGCTCCACCTATCATCACCCCTCTTCTCCAACAAGGACACCAATTTAACTACTGTCTACATAGAAAAAGGAAACCTTCATATGGACCAAAAATCAGGTGAGCCCTCGTTGTACCTGGTTTTAAGTCTATCACTGAAAGAGACACTGAAGACATAGAAAAAACAGTCCCGAATCGCCAATACTACCCTTACCCCATCCCCCAGCAGTGGTGGCATGGTGTAGAGAGTGTATCTGGGTGCTGAGGGGAGGGAGGGAGAGCACAACAATTGTGAGGCACTGAACTCAGTGCTGTTCTGTTACAGCAGAAAGGCAAACTGGTCCAGACTCATCTGATACCCGCCCACAATGGGAGCATTTAAACCAGCCCTAGCCTTAGGGGAACCACTAATCCCAGTGATCTGAACTTGAGTTCCCACAAACCTTGGCAGTGAAGGCTAAGTGCTCTGTGCTCTATATAAACTTGAAATGCAGTCTAGGCCAAAAGGACTCCAATTTTTAGGTGAGTCCTATTGCTGAACTAGGCCCAGAGACAGTGGCTGGGGGAGCAGGTGACCTACTGAGACACCAGCTGGGGTGGCTAAGGGAGTGCTGGCATCACCTCTCCCCTAACCCCAGGCTGCATGAAGCCCCAAAGGAGACCCTTTCCTTCTGCTTGGGGAGAGAAGAGGGAAAAATGGGGAGGACTTTGTTTTGCATCTTGGATACCAGCTCAGCCACAACAGGATAGGGTACTGGTCAGAGTTGTGAGGCCCCTGTTCCAGACCCTAGCTCCGAAATGACATTTCTAGACATGCCCTAGACAAAAAAGGGAACCCACTGCCCCATAGAAAAAGATCCAGTTCTAGCATCATTCATCACCTGCTAACTGAAGACTGCTTGAGCCCAGAATAACCAGCGGTGATAACCAGGTACTACGTGGAGTTACTAGCCACACAGCTGGAAATGTTCTGAGTCTCACCTGAAGCCAGCAACTTTTAGAGGGTGAGAAACAGTGCTACAGGGAGAAATTCTTGCTTGAGAAAAGAAGTGGAAAAGTAAAGAGGACTTTATCTTGTACATTAAGTACCAGCACGGCCATAGGGTGGGTAGAACACAAAGTGAGCTCTTAGGATCCCTGATTCTAGGACTTGACTTTTGGAAAGCATTTCTGGACTTGCCCTGCAAGACAGGAGACCACTGTCCTGAAGGATAAGTCCCAGTCCAGGCAGCATTCACCACAAGCTGACTCAAGTGTCCTTGGGCCTTAAGAGAAAATTGGCAATAGTCAGGCAGTATTCCCCATGGCCTGGGGGTGGTGGCTACAAGGTGAGGTTCCTCTGCTTTTAGAAAGGGGACAGAAGGCTGGGCGCGGTGGCTCATGCCTGTAATCCCAGGACTTTGGGAGGCCGAGGCGGGAGGATCACGAAGTTTGGAGAGCAAGACCATCCTGGCTAACATGGTGAAACCCCGTCTCTACTAAAAATACAAAAAATTAGCTGGGCGTGGTGGTGGGTGCCTGTAGTCCCAGCCACTCGGGAGGCTGAGGTAGGAGAATGACGTGAATCCGGGAGGCGGAGCTTGCAGTGAGCCGAGATCGCGCAACTGCACTCCAGCCTGGGCGACAAGTGAGACTCCATCTCAAAAAAAGAAAGAAAGGGGAGGGAAGAATTGAGAGGACTGCATCTTGTGATTTGAGTGCTAGCTCAGCTCCAGCACAATGGAACACCAGGTAGACTTCTAAGACTTCTAAGGTTTTTGACCCAAGTTCCTACTTCCTGAATGGCACCTCTGGACCCACTTAGGGCCTATGGGAAATTGCCACCCTGAAGAGAAGAACACTGGTCTGACTGGCGTTGCAACCTGCTGATCGCAGAGCCCCAGGCCCCTGAGCAAATATAGGCAGTGGGCAAGGAGTGGTTACAGCAGGCCTTGAGTGCGAAACATTGCTGTGCTGGCTTCAGTCTGACCCCGGACAGTCACAGTGGTGGTGGCCACAGGGGTGTTTGTGTCACTCCACCCTGAGTTTGTGGCTCAGAACAGAGAGAGATAGAGAGAGAGAGACTTTGTCTGGTAGAAAGTAAAGGAAGAGAACAAGAATCTCTGCATGGTAATCCGAGAATTCTCCTGGATCTTCTCCAAGACCATCAAGGCAATACCACTATGAGTCTGCAAGAACCACAGCATTACTGAATTTGATGTGTCCCCTAAAGCATATACAGTTTCGATCACAACACCTAATTCCTTTCAAATATCTGGAAAGCCTTCCCAAGAAGGACAAGTACAAACGAACCCAGACAGTAAAGACTACAATAAATACCTAACTCTTCGATGTCCAGACACTGAAGAACATCTGCTAGCATCAACACCTTCCAGGAAAGCATTACCTTACCAAATGTAATAAACAAGGTACCAGGGACCAGTCCTGGAGAAATAGAGATATGTGACTTTTCATATAGAGAATTCAAAATAGATATGTTGAGGAAACTCAAAGAAATTCAAGATGACACATAGAAATTTAGAATTCTATCAGATAAGTTTAACAAAGAGATTGAAATTATTAAAAGGAATCAAACAGAAATTCTGGACCTAAAATAATTGGCATGCTAAAGATTGCATGAGTCTTTTAATAGCAGAATTGATTAAGCAGAAGAAAGAATCAGTGACCTTGAAGACAGGCTATTTGAAAATACACAATCAGAAGAGACAAAAGAAAAAGGAATAAAAAACAATAAAGCCCACCTGTAGTATCCAGAAAATTGCCTCAAAAGTGCAAATATGAATTACTGGCCTTAAACAGGAGGTATAAAAAGATATAGGAATAGAAAATTTATTCAAAGGGATAATAACAGAGAACTTCCCAAACCTAGATAAAGATATCAATATCCAAGTACAAGAAAGTAATAGAATACCAAGCAGATTTAACTGAAGGAAGACTACCTCAAGGCATTTAGTAAACAGGCTATCAAAGATTGAGGACAAAGAAAAGATCCAAAAAGCAACAAGAGAAAAGAAACAAATAACATACAATGCAGCTCCAATAAGTCTGGCAGCAGACTTCAGTGGAAAACCTTACAGGCCAGGAGATAGTGGCATGCCATATTTAAAATGCTGAAGGAAAAGAAATTTTACCCTAAAAGAGTATATCTTGGAAAATATATTTTAAAAATGAAGGAGAAATAGACTTTCCTAGAAAAACAAAAACTGAGGAATTTTATCAATACCAGACTAGTCCTACAAGAAATACTAAAGGGAGTACTTCAACCAGGAAGAAATGGATGTTAACAAGGAATAAGTAAGCTCCTGAAGGCAAAAAACTCACTGGTAATAATCAATATACAGAAAAACACAGAATAATATAACCTTGTAACCGTGATGTGTAGACTACTCTTATTAAGAAGGAACACTAAACGATAAACCAATAAAAAGTAATTACAACAATTTTTCAAGACATAGTACAATAAGGCATAAAGAGAAACAAGAAAAAGTTAAAAGGTGCGGGAAGAAGTTGAGGTGTAGAGTTTTTATTAGTTTGATTTCTGCATGTTTGTTTATGCAAATAGTGTTAAGTAGTTATTAGTTTAAAACAATGGGCTACAAGAGAGTATTTGCAAGTCTCATAGTAACATCAAACCAAAAAACATACAATGGATACACAAAAAATAAAAAGCTGGAAACTAAATCATATCACCAGAGAAAAACACCTTCACTAAAGGCAGACAAAAAAAAAAGAAAGAAGGAAGATCACAAAAGAACTGGAAAACAAATGTTAAAATAGCATGAGAATGTCTTATCAATAATGACACTGAATGTAAATGGACTAAGTTTCTCAATTGAAAGACAGGAGTGGCAGAATGGATAAAAAAATGAGATCCATTGATCTGTTGCCTATAAGAAACACACTTCACATATCAAAACACAAATAAACTGAAAGTAAAGTGATGGGGAAAGATATTCCACGCCAATGGAAACCAACAAAGAGTAGGATTAACTACACTTATATCAGATAAAATAGATTTCAAGACAAAAGCTATAAGAAGAGACAAAGAAGGTCACTATATAATGATAAAGGGGTCAATTCAGCAAGAGAATACAACAATTTTAAATATATATGCACTCAACACAGGACCACTCATATATATATACATAAAGCAAATTATTAGAGCTAAAGAGAGAGACGGACCAAATATAATAATAGCTGAGGACTTCAGCACCCCACTTTCAGCATTAGACTGATTTTCTAGATAGAGAATCAACAAAGAAACATCACAGTTAATCTGCACTACAGACCAAATGGATATAATCAATATTTACAGAACAGTTCATCCAATGGCTGCAGAACACACATTCTTCCCCTCAGCTTATGGGTCATTCTCAAGGGATAGACCATATGTTAGGTCACAAAACAAGACTTAACACATTCAAAAAATTGAAATAATATCAAGCATCTTCTCAGAACACAGTAGAATAAAACTAAAAATTAATAACAAGAGAAAATTTGGAAACTATAAAAATACATGTAAATTGAGCAATGTGCTCCTGAATGGAGAGTAGGTCAATGAACAAATTAAGAAGGAAATTGAAAAATTTGAAAACTTTCTTGAAACAAATGATAATGAAAACATAACACACTAAAACCTATTGAATACATCAAAACCAGTACTAACAGGAAAGTTTATAGCTTTAAACGCCTACATCAAAAAAGAGGAAAAACTTCAAATAAACAATCTAACAATGCATCTTAAAAAACTAGAAAAGCAAGAGCAAACCAAATCCCAAATTAGTAGAATAAATAATAAAAATCAGAGCAGAAATAAATGAAGTTGAAATGGAATAGAAAAAATTATTAAACAAAAAGTTATTTTATTCAAAAAGTTAAACAAAATTGACAAAACTTTAGCCAGACTAAGAAAAAAAGAAAATGTACATAAAATCAGAAATGAAAAAGGAGACATTACAACTGATACAGCAGAAATTTGAAGGACTATTAGTGGCTACTATGGGCAACTATATGTCAATAAATTGGAAAACCCAGAAGAAATGAACAAATTCCTAGACACATATGACCTATTAAAGCAGGGTGTTTCCCTGACCTCTTCAGGGAAAGCACAACAGGCCTGACTCATTTACTGAGCCTGTCCCTCTCAACTCCTTGCAGGAGGGAGCGCGTGAGTAAATGAGGCGGGAACTGGAGTGCAGGAGTGCTGAAATCAGCTGGCATCTTTGGCGCCGGGGCCAGGGGGTGGAGGGGGGAATCAAACTCCACTCACTCGGACTGACTGTGTCCCACACTTATGGAAGAGAGTTGTGCAGGTAAGCAGGTGCAGGAGCCTGAATGAACCCTTTTGGGGGCCAGCAGGGGTGAACTCTGTGCAGGCACTGTGGCAGTTTCCAGGCAGGGTACCTGAGACTCCCGAAGCCCCAGAGGGTGTGTTACAGTGTTCTTTCAGCTCTGCCATCCTCAGATGGCTTAAGTATTAACAGCTCAGTGGATGCTTTGCCTTTTCCCATGTGGCAGCTGCTCTCCACTAGTGAGTGCGAAAGGCCAATGTGACAGCCTTTTGTAGCCACAATCGTGGCTCCCAAGCTCTTGTCTAGCATCCAGGAAAAATGAGGACACATGAATAATTGAATGATGGTAAATGCAGGGAATTTTATTGCCAGTGAATGTGGCTCTCAGTGGGAAGGGGAGCTGAAAAGGGGAGGGGGTAGTAGGTAATCTTCCCCCGAAGTCCTGCCGTCTCCAGCCAGATTCTCCTCCAAAGTTTCACTGTCATCCTGTCCCTCTGAAGTTAAGCTGCTTCTCTCCAATGTCCAGCTGTAGTTCCAATGTTCAGCTGCTTCTCTCTTCTCTGCCAGCTGCGTCTGGAATGTTTATAGGTACAGTAAGAGGTGGGGCAGGCCATGGGTAGTTTGGGAAAAGGCAATATTCCAGTAGGGAAACAGAGATAGATGTTCTGACTTTGGGCTGTAGGTTTCAGGATTTTCAGCTTGAGGGTTGGGTTTTGTCAGGGACCCACCTTTTTCTGCCTAGAATTTCACTGCTTCCTGTCTCTTTCACTACCAAGATTGAACCAGAAAGAAATCCAATACCTGAACAGACCTATAATAAGTAACAAGATCAAAGCCATAATAAAAATTTTTCCCAATAAAGAAAAGCCCATGACCCAATGGCTTCACTGCTGACTTCTACCAAGCATTTAAAGAATAACTAATATCAACCCTACTCAAACTATCCTGAAAAATCCAGGAGAAGGGAATACTTCCAAACCCATTCTGCAAGGTCATTATTACCCTTATACCAAAACCATGGTATACCAAAGTTACCAAGACAAGATATTTCCTTGCAGTTGTCTGCAAGTTGTCTTGTATATATTGTCTTGTAGATATGATATTGTTGTTTTATGTGTCTCTGTCTATACCAGATGTCTCAGAATAAACAAAGACACATGATAAAAAGAAAACTACAGGCCAATATCTCTGATAAGTATTGATGCAAACAGTCTCAACAAAACATTAGCAAACAAAATTCAACAAAACATTAGAAAGATCTTCATTATAACCAAGCAGGATTTATCCCTGGGATGCAAGGAAGATTCAACATGTGCAAATCAATGTGATACATCATATCAACAGAACGATGAATAAAAAGCATATGATTATTTCAATTGATGCTGAAAAAATCAACAAATAACATTCAGCATCCCTTCATGACAAAAACACTCAAAATACTGGGTATAAAAGGAACATATCTGAACATAATGAAAGCAGTATACAACAGACTCACAGCTATTGTCATATTGAATGGGGAAAAATGGAAACCCTTTTCTCTAATATCTGGAACATGACAAGGATGCCCACTGTCACAACTGTTATTCAACATAGTGCTGGAAGTCCTAGCTAGAGCAATCAGAGAAGAGAAAGAAATGAAGGGCATCCAAATTGGAATGGAAGATATCAGGTTGTCCTTGTTTGCAGATGACATGATCTTATACTGGGAAAGACCTGAAGACTTCACACACACACAAAAAAATCTATTAGAACTGATAAACAAATTCAGTAAAGTTGCAGGATACAAAATTAACTTACAAAAATCAGTAGCATTTCTATATGCCAAAGGCAAACAATCTGAAAAAGAAACCAAAAAAGTAATTTCATTTACAACAGACACACATAAAATTGAATACCTAGCAATTAACTTAACCAAATAAATGAAAGATCTCTATAATGACAGCTATAAAACACTGATGAAGGAAATTAAAGAGGACACTAAAATATGAAAAAAAATTCCATGTTCGTGGATTAGAAGAAACAATATTGTTAAAATACCCATACTATCCAAAGCAATCTATGGATTCAAAGCAATCCCTACCAAAATGCCAATGACAAACTTCATAGAAATAGAAAAAAAAATCCTAAAATATTTATAGAACAAAAAAGACCCAGAATATCCAAAGCTATCCTAAGTAAAAAGAACAAAACTGGAGGAGTTACATTACCTGATTTCAAATTATACTAAAGAACTACAGTAACCAAAACAGCATGGTACTGGCATAAAAACAGATACATAGACCAATGGAACAGAATAGAGAACCCAGAAACAAACCTACACACCTACACTGAACTCATTTTTGACAAAGGTGCTAAGAACATGCACTGGGAAAAAAGTCTATTCAATAAATGGTGCTGAGTAAACTAAATATCCATATGCAGAAGAATGAAATTAGACTAATATGTCTTGCCACATACAAAAATCAAATCAAATGAATTAAAGACTTAAATCTAAGATCTCTCACTATGAAACTACTATAAGAAAACATTGGAGAAAATCTCCAGTACATTGGTCTGGACAAAAATTTCCTGAGCAATACCCCACAAACACACGCAAACAAATAAAAACATGGACAAATGAGATCACATCAAGTTAAAAAGCTCCTGCATAGAAAAGGATACAATCAACAAAATGAAGAGACAACCCACAGAATGGAAGAAAATATTTGCAAACTACCCCTCTGACAAAGGATTAATTTCTGGAATATATAAAGATCTCAAACAACTCTATAGGAAAAAATTTAATAATCCAGTCAAAAGTTGGGCAAAAAATTTGAATAGACATTTCTCCAAAGGATTCATATGAATGGCAAACAAGCATATGAAAATATCCTCAACATCATTGATCATCAGAGCAATATAAATCAAAAGTAAGATGAGATATCATCTCATCCTACTTAAAATGGCTTATATCCAAAAGACAAGCAATAATAAATACTGGCAAGAATGTGAAGAAAAAGGGATGTGAGAATGTAAATTAGTACAACCACCATAGAGAGTAATGTGCATGTTCCTCAAAAACTAAAAATTGAGCTCACATATGATCCAGCAATTCCACTGCTGGGTATGTATGCCAAAGATAGGAAATCAGTATATTGAAGTGCAGTATATTTGCACTCCCATGTTTGTTGCAGCACTGTTCACAATAGCTAAGATTTGGGAGCAACCTCAGTGTCCATAAACAAATGAATGTATAAAGAAACTGTGGCACATATACACAATGGAGTATTATTCTGCCATAAAACAGAATGGGACCCTGTCATTTCTAACAGCATGGATGAAACTTGAGATTTTCATGTTAAGTGAAATAAGCCAGGTACAGTAATACAAATATCACTGTTGTCACTTTTTTTGTGGGGTCTGAAAATCAAAACAATCGAACTCATGGAGATAGTAGAAGGATGGTTATGAGAGGCTTGGGAATGGTAGTCGAGGATGAGGGAGGTTGTGTAAGGGAGAGGTAGGAATGGTTAATGGATGCAAAAAATAGAAAGAATGAATAAGACCTACTATTTGATAACACAACAGGATACTATAGTCAATAATACCTTAAATGAACATTTAAAAATAACTAAAAGAGTATAATTGTATTGTTTGTAACACAAAGGATAAATGCTTGAGGGTATGGATTTCCCATTCTTTATGTTGTGATTCTTTCACATTGCATGCCTGTATCTAAACATCTTATATACCCCATAAATATGTACCTCATAAATATATACACCTACTATGTACCCACAAAAATTAAAAATTAAAAAAATTATAAAAGAACAAAAACTTAAAAACCTAATGATACTAATTATTGCTGACACTATGGGGCAAGTGAAATCCAATATACTAGTTTGGAAAATATAAAGTGATACAACCACTTTTGAAATAGTTTGGCCATTTCTTAAGAAATTAGACAGACTTCTCATTTGAGCTTTGACATGTAAAGGGCTTGTTAGTTGTCAGCCCTACACTTACAAGAAGAAAAGAGCTGAAGAAACTCAAATTAACAACATCTTGTTGGAACCATCAGGGAACTGATATCACAGGGCACTGTCACCCCCAAACCTGGAGAAACAGATGAATACAGAGAATCACAGCTGAGCTCAGCCTACGTGGAACACAGCCACTGGAGTGCCAAACTAGAAAAGACACTTAAATGAAAATTTTGAAAAATTTCTGGAGGCTGAATGTGGACTAGCATGAGAATTAGAAACTCCTGGGCACAGTCTTGGGGGAAGCAAACATTCATGGGTTTTAGCTGCAAGAAACCCAAAGGTTCTCATCATGGAGAGCCAAGAAAATTGCCTTTAAGTATTTGTTGTTGTTGTTGTTGTTTGTTTGCTTATTTTTGTAGTAGGTTGGGAGGAGGAAATAATTACCATTTTGAAACACAACCAAAGCATTCTTCATAACAAAGGCATGTTTTCAGAGGCTAAGCTTTGCCAGAGCCTTATCAGACCTGTGGTCAGAACAATTATCCAGTTCCTTATTAGACCTGTGGGAAGAGCAATTATCCAGCTCCTCTAGCTTTCCTATCTCCCCTAATGATGCTAGAAAATACCTAGAAGGTCCCTCTCTAGGGCACAGGCCCATGAAAAGATTGAAATTTTAATTGTAAACTCATATAAAGGCTCCCCTTCTGCCATATTTTACTACTACAGCAATAGGACTCTAGGATAAAAACACTAAAATATAATATAAAGAGCTGCATACTGTGCAATCTATTTATGAAGGAGTTCTTAAGGAAAACAAAAATAAAAAGACAGAGAGAGAGGGAGAATGGTAAATGACAGTAGTGGAGTTTGAATCCTCTGGCAACTGCAGCTACAGCAAATATCAAACATAGCCAAACGCCTAGCTAAATTATCATAAAACCTCACACTAAAGGCCTATTTACCTCAGTTTCTATTATCTAATACATTTCTTTGCCAAAAACTTGAAACATCCAAATATCTATTAACAGGTGAGTGGTTAAAAAATTATGACCATGCAACAATAACAGTCATCAATTAAAAAGAATGAGCAATAGGGATGATTCTAAAAAATTATATGCTGATTGGAAGACATCAGTTAGAAAGAATATATACTCAACGTTTCCATTTATGTAAAACTCTAGAAAAATATGAACTGATCAACAGTCACAGAAAGTACATCAGTGCATATCTGGAGACAAGATGGTGGGAGTGGGAACAAGGCTTAAAGATTATAAGAGGTATAAGAAAAATTTGGGGGTGATTAATTATACTATTTTAATTATGATGATAATTTTATGGTTACACCTATGTCAAAACTTAAATAACATTTTACTCTTCAACTTTGGGCAGTTTATCTTGTCAATTATACCACAATAAAGCTTAAAAATGGTTTACATGACTGGTGTAGAGTAGTCTGAAGATGAGTAACATAAAATTATTCCTATTACAATTTCAATTTAATGGATGTAAGCATGTTTTAAATATCTAAAGTTAGTTGATTTTCAATATGTGCTGTCATCTCTGTATAGATTGTAGAGGAGCAAATACATCCTGATAAAATAGTGCTGGCCCTCACAGTGCTATATTCTAAATGTGGGTGACACCATCAAAAGTGGCCAGATATACTTCTAGTTTTATTACTTTATTTCTTCAACAAATATTTTTGAACTGGTCTATTTGCCAGAAAAGGTGCATTCCACCACATGTGAAAGGCAATAATCTCCAGCTAATTATCTTCTTTCATCTTCCTCCCTTGATTGTTCTACCCTGATGCCAACAGATCTTCCTTGGATAATTTCTCTTCAAGTGACTCAAGAAACTCATGCATGTTGGTAATCTTTTTTCTAATCTGTCAAAGCTGACTGGTCTCCAGAGCTCCATTTTGTTTTTGCTTAAAATATAACACCTTCCCTATGTAGATACTAAGCATGTCTTCAAGAAAAGAATGCTAATAATTTTTCATAGTCCACTGCCAAAACTACTTTATTATCCCGGATACATAATGTGTAATTCATTGGGCAGATATAATAAGGTCCTAGACCAATTTGACATCTGCCTTCTTACCTTTTCACTGATATTTCTGGATATCAATCCAACCAACACTGAAAGATAAGCCTTTTAGTTATTTCTTGATACATTATATTATTAAGTGGAAGAATGTCACTTTCCATGATGCAAAGGCAAACATAATTTGTTTTAATTCACAAATTATAGGTTTGTAATACCTGGATAAATAAAGCAATAAGAATGATGGGCACATTTAGAAAATTTAGAGGCATCCATAGTTGAATAAATATATAGCTGGTTTACTAAACTTCTGTGGTACATGCTGAAATGCTTTGCCTAAGTGTTAGTAAACTTAGCGTGTTAGTTATTCAAAAAGAGGAGCTTATGTGAATAAAACTATGGCCTAAAAGCTGAATGAATGAGGACATGTAAAGCAAGAGGTGTCAAAATGAAACTGGAGTTTTGGGGAAGATCAGTAACCAACAGAGACAAATAAAACAGTAGTAATAAGTGGTAAATAAGGAGATATGGAATTATTCTATTGAATTTCATTAGAGAGTGACTTACTAGTGAGTATACTTTTAAAAACCACATAGCTTCATCATACATTATCTACTTTATAGACACCCTCCAATGTGTCATACGTGTCATATGACAATTTGAAAAAAGAATCCAATAACATTGACTTATAAATAGAATTGCACTTGACTCAGTAATTCTAGGAACTAATTACAGTTGTCTCTCAGTACCTACAGGGGATTGGCTCCAGGACACCCCCAAACCCAAGAGGATACCAAAATCTGCACATATTCAAATCCCTCAGTTGGCCTTCCAGAGCCTAAGGATGTAAAAAACTTGCCCCTATATGTGCAGATTTCACATCCTTTTCATACTGTATTTCCAACCTGCGTTTGGTTGCAATATACGGGGATGCAGCGGGACAACTGTTCTTCCTGAAAAAAACCCACTTGTATGTGGACCTGGGCAGTTCAAACCCATGTTGTTCAAGGGTCATTTGTAACTTACAAGATCTATTTTTAATAATAGAAAACCATTTACATTGATATATAAATGTTTTCATAGGCTAATATTTGAGTATGATTGCAGAGAAAACTTTTGACTTTGGAATCACTTGGAAGTATCAATCAAATTATGAATAAAAAGAACATAAAATTAATATTTATTACATTTTGAAAAATGGAAAGGTTAAAAATGTTCAATGTAATCATAAATGAAATGCTAGAAAGGACTGATGGTATGGAAATTTAAAACTTCTTACTCTACAAATTTACTGAGGAACATTCTTATTTATAATTGTTACTCAAAGGAATGAGTAATGCTTACAGTTACACTTGTCTTGGGAACATCATTTGGAAAAAGATGATGAGGATGATATAGTTGGTTAATTTTTATTGAGTCTCACTGCATGTCAGACACTTTTCTACATGGTTTATCCTACTTAATCCTCACATGCCAACAGAACAACAAATTTTATGAGGAAAATTCTATGAATTTTTGCATTAAATAAATAAAGATATTAAAGATTCTAGATTTAAAAAAGTTATTTGTGAGTATATCAATGGTATGAATTAAAGCCAGTATTTTAAACCTAGCACTTTAATTTTACAACCCACATTTTTAGCCAACATTCTATGTTATCTAATTAATTTTCACATTACCTCCAAAACCCATTCAATATTATTTAAAAATATCCGAACAATAAGTAAGAATAGAAATTGATGTCTGGTATACCTATGGGTAATTACAAACAAATATCTGATTATCAATGCAAATTTTTGTATTACTGCATATACTATAGAGATAACATGACACTACTTATTAATTCTGTTACTTCATTCTTCCACCTACAATTTATTTCCTTTTGTCAACCAGTTTAATATTTTCAATGCAGCAAAAAGACAAATTTTCAGGGCTTGTATCATAATGAAAATTAATATAATACAACAATGAACTTGAACATAACACATCTTTTGTGAAAGTATTACATTTTTTTGTTATTATTACAGATGTTTTTACCATTAAAACCACAAAAGCAATAAATAAATAACTGATCTTAGAAACCAAATAAAATTATTACAGGTGAGGAATGCCATATGTGAACTTGAATTTTAACACCACAGGACACCATTTTAATTGCTTCTTTAATGTCGTTGGTTCAATCTATATTTTAGGGGACATATGGTACATTTTTCTGAGAGTGAGAACTTTTCTAGGTTTTTTACTATTTTACACTAGAATTCAGAATTTTAAATTAAGCCTTTCTTAATTTAATCCATTGTACAATTGACATCCTATTTTATTGTGACTTTTTAAACCAAAAGTATCATCATCTAAAATGTTGGCATTTAGAGTCATCAGAGATTAATGTCATTTTGCAATGTCATGGGGCAATTATTTTGTAAATTGCATCCTTCCAGAGATTTCTGATTAAATCTCAAGATGAAAATGGCTTCCTCAATGTTATCAACAGAGTAAATTGTCTTCCTGCCAATGTTTGTCATTCCAAATATTATTTCATCAACACTGAAAGTCAATTTTCCTAAGGCCCTTGGAGCAAGCAAAATTACCAAGTGCTTTCACTCTAATTCCATGAGGGAAATGAAGTAAATTCCAAGCAGTCATTTTGAGTGCTTTAATTTCACGTTTTATTTTGGAATTTATGGATCACTTGGCAATCAATTCATAGGAAACAAAAATAGTTTTCTTTGAACATGCAAATTTCTGTATGCGGTAAGGTTGTAAGAGTTAGTCCTATTTAAAAATGCATAAAAAATTCCAGCATGTCATTATTACTTTTTGCAAGGCTTTCATGAAATTTAATGTAATTTTGCTAAAACTGCACAGAGAGGAATGATGATGGATTTAAAGTCAGGAGATATACTTTCAAATCACTGTTCATTGTAACCTAATTTCATTCTATTCAGCAAGATAATTAATCTACCTGAGTATCAAATCTGTTATAATAAAATGAGGATACGAATATAATCCTCATGTGACAGAATTAAAGTATAGATTAAATGTGATTGTATATATGAACATGCTCTTTGAACATGGAAACAAATCTGTAAAGATGTTAATCACAAATAAGCATTTCTTGTCCTTGATAGCATTTAATATCCTGTGGCCCATGTATCCTGAGGTATCACCCCAAATGTTTAATAACAGAAATCAGGTTTTGTATGTCTTCTGTCTGATAAAAGTTTTTAATACTTTTTGAAGTTTCCATGATTTCTTCTCCAGGTTTTACGAATAAGAAAGTTGTCTTTAAACTCAGCTCAACTCCCCTGAAAGATAGAATGCCATGAAGTGAAAAAAAGTTTAAATGAATTTCTCAATTATCTAACTTGCAAATTATCTTTGCATAATTATTAGAAAGGATATATCATAATTAGATATTATAGCAACTATATTAAGTATATGTGCCTCTCTTTCACTTCATATCCATGACCTTCACAATCAACTAGCCATTTTACCCACTTTAATTACATTCACACTTCATTATTTTTGCAATTCCCAGGAACTTTTAAATTATGACTAAATGTAGAAGCAAGGGATTTCAGCCAACAACAGGGATAAAGCAGACAATTTTTCCCCCAGAGTTTCCTCAGGACTTCGAACTTTAAACAAATTGCAGTTCTAATATCAATGGTTACCTCCATTAATCACCATCTCCACATCCTTATCATTCCTACTCCAGGAGTATATAAGGCCTATAAGGTGAATAAATCCTACTCTCACTAGTGATATGCCTGGCATAATTCAATACCCACTTCTGCCCATATTTAAAGAAGCAGAGAGAATGATGTGGAACTGAGTCAAATGCAAGCATCTATTTGCAATGCCTCACTGAATGACTAGAAATATTATTTGGACCAATAAGCCAAGGCTAATATCTTAACACCTTTTAGAAAAGACCAGCAAAGTCATACTTAAAGGAGTATGGGTCCCTTAAAGAGCTATACAGATGTGGCTTGGGAGTAGTCAAGAGCAACATACCAAGGTGAAGCTGAAGAGAGAAAACAGAAGGCAGACATAGCTTGCTACATGTATTCATCTCTGAAAAAGAGTCATTTGGTGGAGAAAAAATGAGCTGTAGTGTTGGAAGAGAAAGTCTTCATTCAGACAACACTGACAGACATCTAGGGCAGTGTGAGGGATGTGATGAGGGGAGGACATATTACATTAATTTTTCTTGGCTGCTACCTTTTGTTTTCTTTTTTCTTTTTCTTTTTCTTTTTCTTTTTATTTTTGAGGTGGAGTTTCGCTCTGTTGCCCAGACTGAATTGCAATGGTGCAATCTTGGCTCATTGCAACCTCTGCCTCCTGGGCTCTCAAGCGATTCTCCTGCCTCAGTCTCCTGATTAGCTGGGATTACAGGCAGGCACCACCGTGCCCAGCTAATTTTTGTATTTTTAGTAGAGACAGGGTTTCACCATGTTGCCCAAGCTGGTCTTGACCTCAGGTGATCCACCTGCCTCGGCCTCCCAAAGTGCTGGGATTACAGGCGTGAACCCGGCCAGCTACTTTTTGTTTTCTAAGCATCATTTTAGATCACTGCAGGGTAGTAATCTGTTTCTATTTCAGGTTCATCTATTTTGTTTCTGGAACCCACCTTAACAGATTGTATTGTACATCTGGTTATGTTTCAGACCCCCTTTTTCTTTTGTTTCTCCTTTTTGTCAGGTGGTTTTGCATGTTTTCAGAGCTTGTGGTGGGAATATGTAATTACTTGATGGTGACATAGATGCAATAATAACAAGAGGTGTGTCTCCGAATTCAGGCCCAAGATCAGTTTGTTGCTTCAACCATTGCGTGCCTTGAGGTGGTTCCATCATTCTAGGCACATCAAGAATCTATAAGAAATAAAATCATGCTTCTGAAACACACGTATTAAAACAACTATCTTGAAAAAAGAATTTCTACTGGGGAGGTCACTGGGTCTGCGACTCTGTAAACAAAAATTTAATGCTAAGTAACACATACAATCACACTAAAAGAGGCTTCTCTAGTGAGGATAGCATTGCCAGAGCCAGTCAACATCTAAGACACTTAGGAAAGATGCCAGAAGCTACAATGTTGACAACCCTCAAAGTGCCCAAAATCTTTGCCACCAAATTTTCCAGAAGATAATGGATGTCACCCAACAATAATCATTTCTGAATTTAATTCTCATTGAGAATTTCATATTTGAAAACATAAGTAATATACCCACATCCTAGTTTCAAGAGACATATCCACTACATGCCTTATCAACATGCTTATCACTTCTATCCATTGACACATCTGAGCCATCCTCATTGTAACAACACTTCTTCCAATTGAAGGTGTTTTGTAATCTCACAATGATCAGCAGAGTTGCCTAGGTCAAGTGGCTCCTCCTGAGCTTAGCTCAAATGTATTTTGCCCACACCTTTCCCTCCACAGTGACCACTGTGATACAGGAAAATTAAATAAACTTCTTCTCATTAAAATTTTCAAAACTTTTCCTGTATACTTGTAAAACATCACTACACAACTTAACAATTAGGTTTCTTCAGTTTTTTATATTATAAAATTTATTACATCAACTCAATTGTTTGCTTGCAGGAGATCACCTCAATCCCAAATCTGAATCCATCTTATTCTATCCTAAACTTGAATACAGTGTTACGTTAACTTCGCTATAATATACATGGCAAATAATTGTCCAGGTTAAACTTTTTTTTTTTTTGCCTTGATCAGAGATCATAATTATCTTCCTAACATGGCTCAAAAACACATCTACACTTACACCAATCCTAATTCTCATCCTCACAATTAACAAAGAAATTTAATATATCTGTACATAATGATGTCTAAGTATCTTTTGTTGTTGTTGTTCCTGCCCAGGCTGGAGTACAGTGGCACGATCTCGGCTCACTGCAACCTCCACCTCCCGGATTCAATCGATTCTCCTGCCTCAGCCTTCTGAGTAGATGGGACTATAGGTGCACGCCACCACACCCGGCTAATTTTTGTATTTTTTAGTAGAGATGGGGTTTCACCATATTGGACAGGCTGGTCTCGAACTCCTGACCTCGTGATCCGCCCACCTCAGCCTCCCAAAGTGCTGGGATTTCAGGCATGAGCCACCGCGCCTGGTTAAGTATCTTTTTTCAAAGGTTAATATTTTTTTCTTTACAGGTCAAATATGCTTTATTTACTAAATAATTATTCGTTATTTATTACTTTCATGTCAATTTTAATTTTTCTGTTTTCTTTTTAAAGCACAGTTCCCTAACTAAATGACATAGTTTTTATTTTTTTTAAAGATATTTAGCATAGTGATGGATACTTTTTAGGTGCTTAACAAACACTAGGATCAAGTTTTTTACTGAAAACTTAATTACTCTTGATGTAGAAAATTATATTAATATTAAATTATAATGTGATGGTTAATTTTTTGTGCCAACCAGACTGGACTAAGGGATGCCCAGACAGCTGGTAAAACATGATTTCTGGGTGTTTCTGGGAGGACTTTTGTCTTAATCTGTTTGTGCTGCTGTTACAGAATATCACAATCTAGGTTATTTATAAAGAAGAGAAATGTGTTTCTCTCAATTCTGGAGACTGAGAAGTCCGAGTTCAAGGCATAGGCAGGTTCAGTTGTCTGGTGAGGAATACATTCCCTGAAAGGGAGGAATACTCTGTCCTCACATGACAGAAGAGCATTATAGGAAGCTATGTATTAAAACACTGAATGAAGCTTCTTTTATGATGGCCTTAATCCCATTCATGAGGAAGGAGCTCTCATTGCCTAATCACCTTTCAAAAAACTCACTTTCTAATACTATTTTATTGGCAACACCTGTATTTTGGAAGAGCGACATTGTTTTAGATCATAGCACTATTCTTGAAAAGATTACCATTTGAATCAGTAGACTAAGTAAAGAAGATCCTCACTCACCAATATAGGTGGGCATGATTCAATCTGTTGAGACCCAAAGAGAAGCAAAACGAAGAGGAAGAGCTAATTCATTCTCTCTTTCCCTTGTTCTCCTTCTCTCTCTTCTTTTCTTCTCTCTTCTCAAACTGAAACATTCATTTACTCCTGCCCTCATTTGGAGTTCCTGGTACTGCAGCCTTTGAACTCTGGGACTTATTCCTCCACCACCCTTTCTATTACTTCTCCGGCCCTCAGACTCAAACTGAGTTATGCCACTGGCTTTCCTAGTTGCAGACAGCATACTGTGTTCTTCTGGGCCTCCAGAATTGTGTGAGCCAATTCTCACAATAAACCTTATTTTATATATCTATATATATATATGTATCCTGTTGGTCGTGTTTCTCTGGAGAACTCCAGCCAATACAAGTAGGCTATGCCAATATAACTTGCTCTCTATTTTAAGGTAGATGTGTATATTCTGCATGTCCATCTCAATTTCCTTTTGCAACCTTCCCCAATATTTTTATTTGCTTATTTAAATTTAATTTAAACCACAAACTTTCTAGCAATTTTCATCGTGTGATTTTATGGTGTTTAATGAGGTTTTAAGTCTGGTTTTGCTATGTGAAAGAGGAAACATAGAAATGAGATTATATAAATACCCCTGCAAGGGGAGATTTCTTGTGTCCATAGCTATCTGGAACATGGTCCGGCTCTACAGACAAAATTTACATTCTCATAAAGTTCACTTGTGACATTATACAGTATTTGTAGTCAAGAGAATCTCCTCTTCCCAAACTAGAACATGCTCTCTGGCTAAAATTTCAATTTCTCATTTTCACACCATGTCTGTGTTCTAGAAAGGAATAATTCAGGCCTGATAGAATGTTGAAAAGGGGGATTTCTCAAGAAATTTAAATTTTTACCAAGAAAAACATATGAAGATTAAAAGATATTAAAAGAAATGTAGGATTTGTTGGGGCAGGAAGCTGAAAGAATTCAATGTATAAGAGAAGGTGAGTGAGCAATGTTGGAAATTATTTACTAAGATACATACTCAGAAAATATCACGTACTATAGCAGCCACACATATTTGAACCATAAAACTGGCTTTAAAAGTGTACCATATTAAAAAAAAACAGTATTTACTCCCTCATCCATCCTTATACTCATGATCTGTGGCAGAAGAAAGGTATCATCTCGTGTTTTGTAATTGATGTGAGGAAAAAAAAAACAACAACAACCAGCAAGGCTATGAAACGATAGATTCTCATGGGAAAACCATGTACTAAAGTAGCTTACATTAAAATGGTGTTGAATAAGATAATATACTCCAAGGATATTCAACTGTAAAGTGCTTTTAAAATGTAAGGTGTTATAATTATGTAAGAAAGGAAGAATGGCCTTGCGTACATGTCTCATTTCTCTAGTCCATCATTGGATATTATGCCATTCAGAAGACCATAATAACTTTTTCAGAGCAGAAAGGCCTTATTTCAAAAGCAACCCATTTTATTGTGTACTCTGAAGCTTTTCTAGTTGATTTCATTTACACAAGGCTTTATATCTCATTATCTTAGGGTATGATGAGGCATTTTGTTTCTTGTTGATATTTCACAAGGTTGTTTTCTTCCACAGTGGCTCACATTTCAAACAAAGAACATGGATTATTCATTGTTGGAAATAATCTTTTCTTATCCTCCTCACTTGTTTTTGCAGCTTCAGTATTTCATCATGTGGCTATAGTATGTTTATTCAACTATTTTCCTATGCATGGGCATTCAGGTGATTTCTGTTATTTTGCAATTATAAACAATTCGGCAATGAATAATGTGTGCATATTGTTAGAAATATGTTCTTCAGAATTGTAGGGACCAGCCCCACAGGGTCGGTGAGTTTCTCCCCAACGTGCAGTGATGAGAGAGTGTAGAAATAAAGACACAAGACAAAGAGATAAAAGAAAAGACAGCTGGGCCCGGGGGACCACTACCACCAATGTGTGGAGACCGGTAGTGGCCCCGAATGTCTGTCTGCACTGTTATTTATTGGATACAAAGTAAAAGGGGCAGGGTAAAAAGTGTGAGCCATCTCCAATGATAGGTAAGGTCACGTGGGTCACATGTCCACTGGACAGGGGGCCCTTCCCTGCCTGGCAGCCAAGGCAGAGAGAAAGAGAGGGAGAGAGAGAGACAGCTTACACCATTATTTCTGCTTATTAGAGACTTTTAGTACTTTACTAATTTGCTACTGTTATCTAAAATGCAGAGCCAGGTGTACAGGATGGAACATGAAGGCAGACTAGGAGCGTGACCACTGAAGCACAGCATCACAGGGAGACGGTTAGGCCTCCAGATAACTGTGGGCAAGCCTGACTGATGTCAGGCCCTCCACAAGAAGTGGAGGATCAGAATCTTCTGTAAACACCCCCGGGGAAAGGGAGACTCCCTTTCCCGGTCTGTTAAGTAGCAGGTGTCGTTCCTTGACACTTTTCGCTACTGCTAGACCACAGTCCACCTGGCAATGGGCGTCTTCCCAGACGCTGGCGTCACCGCTAGACCAAGGAGCCCTTCTGGTGGCCCTGTCTGGGCATAACAGAAGGCTTGTGCTCTTGTCTTCTGGTCACTTCTCACTGTGTCCCCTCAGCTCCTATCTCTGTATGGCCTGGTTTTTCCTAGATTATGATTATAGAGCGAGGATTATTATAATATTGGAATAAAGAGCAATTGCTACAAACTAATAATTAATGATATTCATATATAATCATATCTAAGATCTATATCTGGTATAACTATTCTTGTTTTATATTTTATTATACTGGAACAGCTCATGTCCTCAGTCTCTTGCCTCTGCACCTGGGTGGCCTGCCGCCCACGAGAATAGATTCATAAAACAGGATTGCTGGGTCAAAAAGCAAGAACTTGTAGTTTTGCTAGATATTGCCAAATTCTGCTCCATAAATGTACTAATTTACATTTCTTATCTTAACCAATTATGAGAATTTCTGTTTCCCTACAGACTGTCAACACATTGCTTACTCAAGATGTATTTTTAACTTTTGCCAACTTGATAACTGAGAATCAGTGAAAATATATTTTACATTGCATGTTTCTCATCATGAAGGAAGTTGGATATGTTTTTAAATGTTTAAAGGTTTTTTGTATTTTTAAATTTTGTTTTAGCAAATTTGCCCTTTATGTATTTTACAAATTTCTCCAACACTTTTAAGCGTTTTTGTATACTGTAGCATTGGAGCTAATATAATAAATAATGGTGTTTGTTTTGCTATGCATGTTGTTTTTCTAGTTAAACCTATTAAACTTTTCTATTACCTCATCAATACCTTGAGTATGCTTAGAAAACTTTTCTCCACACTTAGGTTACAAAAGAATTCATCTATGCTTTCAATTTCTTACATGTTTCATTTTTTAGGTTGGATCACTCATCTATTTGAAATTTATTCCTAGATATAAAGTAAGCAATAGATTACATTGTATATTTTTTTGTAAAAACATGTCCAATTATGCCAGCATGATTTATTTAAAGGTTCATCTTTACACTAGTGATTTGAGATATACCTTTATAACATAATAAATTTCAATTTATATTTGGGTCAATTACTTGACTTTCAGTTCTATGCTTTGGTCTTTTTAGCTATTTACTGAGTAACAAACCAACTTTAAATATAGAGGGTTTAATATGTATGTTTTAATATCTAATAAGCTCACTATTCTTATATGTTTTCCTTATGAATTTTAGATTTAAAATGTGTAGCTCCATGAAAGGATTTTGAATACACTTGAATGCATTAGACATATAAATTTAAGTTATAAAAAACTGTTAATTTATGATGTTGAATTTTTTTAGCCAAGAGCTAGAGTTGCTTCTCTATTTGTTCAATTTGTTTTTATGTCTTTCAGGGATTTTTTTTTCTCATATAGATTCTGCACAATTCTTGATATAATTGTTTCTAAGAATTTAATTTTTGCCATTGTGGTTGTTTTGCTATTGTAAATGATGTTTTCTCCACCACTATTTTCTCTAACTAGTAGTTATCAGTGTGTATTGAAGGGTGATGATTTAATTTTATAGCACTCTAACAATAAATTCTTTTATCATTTGTGTTTGTTTTGTGATTCATTTTCTAGAATTTTCTAGGTATATTATCATATCAAATGCAAACAGAGATAGTTTCAATTCTTTCTCCCTAATTCATTTATATTGTCTAAATCAAATGGCTAATACAAAACATCTTTGGTCATATTGAAAATAGTGGACTTATTTGCTTTGTTCTTAACCTTTGTGAAATTTTCTTTAATGTTTTCTCATTAAGTAAAATGATGACTTGATGATTAATAAATTTGTGTGTTTAAATTAATGTCAAAGAAATATCCATAAATGGCTGATGATTTCTTTGTGCATTTTTAATCACACATTGTCAAATAAATTTTTTCCACATCTACCAAGATTATTACATGAAATAGTATTAGATCTCTGAGTATAGTTTATTATAATAATGAATTTTTAGTATTGTCCATTTAAAATTACAAAGTATTGCAGGGAAAATAATAAAGATTTAAGTAAATAGTGATGTACATGTTCATTAATTAGAAGACTCAATGTTTTTGACACATCAGTTCTCACATATATATATATATATATATATATATATATATATATATATATATACATTCAAAGTCATCCCAGTTAAAATCCCAGCAGCCTACTGTTGTAAATATTGATAAGCTAATTCTAAAATTTACATGAAAATTTAAATAAAGTAGAATATCCAAAACAATTTTGAAAAACAGTAAACTTTGGTAACTTAATTTGATTTCAAGAGTTACAATAATAATAACAGTACAGTATTGATGGAAGGATAAGTTTAGCTTATAGGCCAGTAGAACAAAATACAGAATCCTTAAACAGAGCCACACACAACATCAACTGATTTTTGACAAAGATGTTAAGCTAACTTAAAACAGAAAAGAAAGTCTTTCAAATAGTGCTGCAAAAATTAGATATGTATAAGCAAAAAATGAAAATAATTCCTTACATAATACTACCCACAAAAATAATTTAAAATGGACACACTTCTAAACATAAATGCCAAAGCTATAAAACTTCCAAAAGAATGTACAAGAAAAAATAATGCACCAGATAATGGATGAATAAACTGATATATTCAGAAAGTGTAATATTACTTGGTGATAAAAATTCTAATCATGCAGCATAGATAAAATAAGAAAACATTATGCTGAGAAAAAGAAGCCAGACACAAAAGAGTACAAACTACATGAGCTCATTTGTACAAAAGTTGAGAGCAGACAAAACAAAAATCTAGTGGCAGAAAGCAGAATGGTTGCATGGAGCCAGGAGCCGGTGGGGATGGTGAATGATTTCAAATGGGCTTAACAAAACTTTCTTTTGTAAAGAAGATGTTTTATCATTTCATTGTGGTGGCCAAAATGCTTGAAAGTGTACATTTAAAATGGATATATTTATTATATATAATTGTATTTCACTGATGTTCTAATAAAAAGAAAAGATTTATTAGGTAATATTTGAGGTGTTTCTTCATGGTATGTCTTTAAGTAAAAAAAAAAAAAAAAGTGAAAAACGCAATGACTGACTCCATGAATGCAAAAAGAAAGAAATATTTAGTGGTAGTTTTTTTTTTTTTTTTACCTATATTTGGAACTAAAATGAAGTTTTTGTAACATGCCTCAATCAAACGAAACATGTATTTTCTCAAGCTGCCTCTACTCAGTCATACAATTCTCATTGTTGAATCATATTATTTAAATAATTGTTTTTCTGAAAATCTTCTGAGTCAGCTTAAACTGTTTTTTTGTTTTTAATGTCATCTTTCAGCTACTCACTTTTATGTCTACCATTTATGTACTCACTGTTCAGTCCATCTATGTCAAATACACTTGTAATATTTCAAATTCGTTCCTTCTGTGCACCTCGAAATTTCATGTGCCTTTATGGTTGATAATAATATCACTTATATTTATAATATTTTATAGTTATAAAGGTAATTATTCCAAAAATGTTAAACTGAAGTTCATGTATATCTTATTAATATGGAATTAAAATAATATGAATACCTTATTTTAATGGGAAGAAATGCCCTTCATAAATTTAAAATTTCAAAAAAATTTTTTCTGTTCCTGATATTGTTCAAAACTTGGATAAAGTCAAATGCAAAGTGATATTCCTATTAGTGTGTCAGGATCAGAAATAATACTTCCAGTATTAGTTTTTTACCTCAAGCTCTGTAACTTTGATGAAATAGCAAATAAATGATGGTAAAGCAGGTTATCTACTTATGTTATTTAAACCACTGGGCATTTCTGAGTGTTGATTGGCCACCTGCTGATCGCTGAAGTCCTACTGACTTATACTATGATAAATTATGTAGAGATGGTGTGTGATAATAAGTACTTGCATTCACAGTGGAGAAAAAAAATCCTAGCATTGACTTTTGATGGTAGCTTTTAAGTATTTATTATCTGCATGAAAAAATAAAGCTGGATCTAATCTTTGAAGTCTGTAGTAATATTCCATCAGTTTTTCTTCAAATAATGTGTGTAGCATTGTGAAAACAAAGTATTTGGATGTTTTAGTGTCATGTAAAACATTTTATCTTCAATAGAACACCAGGATGTATTTAATACTTAGGTGGAATATGAATGCATTTTCTAAAAGAGTTTCTCAGTTTCTGTGGCTGCGATTAGAAACATGAAACATTTATGATTCATAAGTTTCTTTATAAAAGTGAGAACAATAACAAATAGATATAAAGATGGAAGACAAAAATTCTTAAACATGAATTAAGTAGTCCTTAATACTTCCCCAAAATAGTTGGTCACGAGTCATGATGAGACATTTGACAGATGAAAATTTATTCTCAGAGGCTTGATAGAGCTCCATCTGAGTTTCTAAAGCTTTTTACTTTTTGTTTATATTTTGTGTACCAATTTGGAGACATTGTCATCTTCCTAGAGGAAATATTAATGTTGCATACACAACCTGATAAAATAAGCTTTTCTTGTTATAGATGAAAAGATTTAAGAAACTGATAGCTGCAAAATACGGCAATGCAAAATCAGATGAGCTTTCAATGACATAAAATTTATCAAGTAGCTGCAAACTTTGATTATGCCCTTGCATTCATTCTTTTATTCCACAAATATTTTCTCAACTAGTATGCAAAATGTATGCAAAACACTGTGCTAAATATGTGGGCAATTAAATAACTAAGGAGACCCAATCCTTGCCTTGAAATAATTCAATCACATTTACTTAAAGTTTTCTGTAGCAAGTTCTGTCTCCATACAAATTTTAAAATGTGTCCCTCAGAACGCCATGGTACGGCAGACGCACTGTATCGGCAAAGTGGATGCAAAGTGGATGGAATTCTCCGTATTCTTACTTTTTACTGTCCTATTTCAGCCAAAAGCATTCTACTTTTCTCTTTTTGTGTACCGAGTCAACAAAAGTTTTTGCTTGATAAACCTTTGCAACTTCCAATAAAATTATTGACTGTACTTAACCTTAGCATGCTAGCAACAGAATCTTGGTATAGTATTTTCTTTTAAAAAGAAAGTTTAGTCAGGCTTATTCAAACATCATGTATTTATTTTTTGTTTCAACAGGTAATTATTGAGCCTATATAAATGGGAGGTAATTATTAATATTTTATATGTTCAGCTAGACCTAAATCCCACCTAATTTCCTAATCTAAGGAAAGATTTGACATTGCTTTATCTATTTCCCAATCAACACTTTAGAATTTTAAAATTCTAAATTTAAAATTTCCCTCCATACAACCTACAACTTTGACATTTATTTTTTCTATTATCATGTGTATGTGCCTTCTCATAATCTGATAAAAATAAAAGAAAATCAAGGCAACATTTGCTCCACAGCCTTGCTCTGTTCCCTCTCTCTGAATTGCTTCTCCTAAGAAGGAGAATCATTTACTTTTTTTCTGCTATAGGCTCTTCACCAGTGCAGGTTCTAAGACCAACATATTATCAGAATTTTTTTTTTAAATTGCTGCCCTTCAAAATGACAAAGATGTATTACCCTTGATGCTAGTCCATTCTGATGCTGACTCAGTTTTAGTAACACGGACTAACTTAAATCGACTTTATAGTGCTGTGCAGATAGTATCTTCACACCTTGTTCCTCTGTTCACAAGTCTGTGTACTCATGACTTCCCAAGATCACAATCCTTCCAGGACTGAGGCTCTTTCCTCTTCTTCCAATCTTCCCTATCCAGGGACTGCAATTACCTGGTGGAGGGTGTTTCTTAGTGCTAAATATGACCTGTTTCTAAATTCTCATGTCC
Organism: Homo sapiens; assembly: GCF_000001405.40. Taxonomy (NCBI): domain Eukaryota; kingdom Metazoa; phylum Chordata; class Mammalia; order Primates; family Hominidae; genus Homo; species Homo sapiens. The sequence goes on from NC_000006.12 coordinate 48,803,820, forward strand.
TATGCTATATGTTCACCTATGATGAGGTAGATCTCTACTGACATAGTTTCTGGATTTTCTGTGCTTCTTTTCTACTAAACCAAAAATATATATTTTAGGAAAAATTTATTTTCCAAAGAAATCTAATGCAGAACTCAAAAATATTCAACAAGTAGTACTGAAGCTCATCTGTCCATTTGGCTCTTCCTGTCTTCACCAGCAGTCTTTGAAACATAGATGAAAGCTATTGGATTGGTCTCAAACCCTTTTGTTATTCACAAGTCCACTGAATCCCAAACACATAAGAAATGGCCTTCCAAGTGTCAAGTGGCTAATCTGACAACTGTTGGTCTCTTCGGGTGTCCCAAGGCTAAATATCTCTGAACTATTCTTTTGTTCAGAAAGAATGGGATTATTGTTATTATTTTTAAACTTACAGCCAACTCCATTAGTCTGTTTTTATCCTTTATAAATGGCACTAAGATTTGTGAATTAACTAGCTTTTAAAAATATCTGCCTAATTTTGTAAGGCAAAGATCCCTAATTTCTTTCTACTATTTTTGAATTACTTCTTTGTGGACCTAGATGGCCCTATTTTTAGAGGATTTATGCTGTCTATAAAAGAATATGATTTTGGAACACATTTTAGAATGTTACATCAAGATTTATAAATAGATATCAGAGGTTTTTCCACAATGAGTGGAAGAGAAGTGCTGAAGTAAATACTTCCAGTCAACTGGGGAAGGCTTGAAAAAGTTTCAGTAGTTGGAATAATCTGCTATTGTTTCACATTTGGTCTATTTTTCCTTCGATTTTAGATTTAAAAAAATTATTCATGTTTTATTTACCTTGATTGAGGATCAAATTATATTTATACTTTATGATTAAATTAATCAAATATCTATTTGGGTTTATTTTTTAATAAAATAGATTTGAGTTTCTACGTAACTAAACATTGAGATATTTTAAGTAATTACTTATCAGTCTCCTGTAATCATCCATTAACTAAGGTCAACAAGCGCCCTCAGCTTGCTAAAACAGCAAATGTAGGGCATTATTATGAGCCTTTTTTGAAAAATACGTATTTAATTAAGCTATTGTGGATGGTTCTCAGATAGAAAATCACAAGTAGATAATGCCAGAGGTTCTAATGATCATACAGAAAATGGCATTCAAGTGAAATATGGAGATAGCGATAGAAAATCATCTACATGTTTATTTAGCTGTCAATTATATTTTCAGTAATTAACGTGTTTCAGTGGGAGGGGGCACTTGGAAGTTGACTGATTTTAATCTCTTGTTAACTAATGTCCACTTTAAGAACATTCTTAAATTATCATGTTTGAAAAAAGAAAAACAGATTTGGTATCTCTTAGGTACTGACTCTTCCAAATTCCAATAACTTCTCCATCCTTCTTCTGCAATACCTATGTTCTCACTCCAAAGAAAGTATCAAGTATGAAAACTTTGTGTTGATTACAACCTTGCTTCTTTTCTATTAGTCCCATCTTTCCTTTTCTATTCTCCAAGTGTTTCTCCTTAACCTGAAAAACTCACACAAAACTATCTATCCTGTATTAGTCTTTAAATAGTGATAGATTTCAATAGAAGATGCATTTAAAAAAAAAAAATTGAAAGTGAGCTGTTTATAAACTTAAATGTGTCAGAATCACCTGTAAGGGGGTGGTGGATATATAAATAAAAATGCCTATGCTCCATCCCTTAAGATTTTCACTTAGCCGGTCTTGATTTGAGCTCAGAAACATCTACATTAAAAAACCCTTACTCAAAAGCCGAGAAAGGTTAACCCAAGACTAGATTTTTGAAAACACTAATTATCAGAAAATTTGGAAGCCCTTAGAAGTCAATCTAAGTCTAAGCCAAAGAAGTCAGATCTTTTCAAGATCTGAAAGAAATAGGGTTTTCCAATTGTCCTCTTCATCTCACATCCTATAATGGGAGGGTGATTTTCTTAGCAATTATTACATGTTTTAAATATGTTTTTAAGCAACCTTTCTAATCTGTTGAGGTGGGTACTTGGTAAGCCATTTAAATCTGGAAACATAGGGCACTCAATTCTGGAAATATAAAAAAATATTTCTGTGAAAATATCTTCCCAGTGTTTTGTCTATTTCTGAAATTTTTATTAATTATATATGACATCCTGAGTTGAATCTGAGATCATTTCATTCCTGTCACACATTCATTTATTTAGTTATACTTCCCGGAAGTTTCAATCAGTTTGGTTTTCTCATTATTTATTGATTTTTAAAAAATTTTAACTATCATAGTTTAAATTTTCATGTTTCTTTTGTTCTCTTTAAAACTTTTTTTTATTTTTCATAGAAGCAGTATCATATATTTTTGAATTTTTTTTCTCATTGTTTCTCCTTCCTCTACTTTTTTTTTCTTTTTTTTTTCCTCCTTTATTCTCTCTCTTACTTATTTTTCTTCTTGGAGGCTTTCCTCATGTATCTGGTAACTCATGGCTGACATTTCTTTTGGAGATGCTTGTATTCAAATTAGAAGTCCTATTTAATATTTCCATTGTATTCCTTATAGTGAGGTGATGAGATGGCCAGCCCACTTTTATTTGGGGAAAGCCTAATATAAGTATTTACCCATCTTTTCTATAGGTAACTTAGTTTCCTCTGCAAAGGTCCTGAGAGCAGAGTATGAGGCTGGCCTGCAGTATTCTGGAGGTGGGACTGGGATGAAGGAGTTTGGTCCTGCTAAGGGAGTATTCACACTTACTGTTTAAATTCCTGATTTCATTCCTGTGCCACAGCACTCCCTCCTCTGTGCATGCAGAACCTCCCTATTTTTAAATTTCTGAGAGACTGTCTTTAGAGACTGGAGAGGGGAGAGGAGGTATTGTTTGTCTGATCCATGAGGTGGGCGAGAAATTGGGACTCTCACAGCATTTGAATCAGATGATCCGGCGATCCTTTGCCTAGGTTTTCCTCCAGGACATCTGGTGTTCCCAGATCTTAAATCTTTCTGGGGTCCTGTGGTAGGTACGTTATCTTCACCATCATTAGTACATTCCTCTACACTGCTTGGAGATCTTGTCCCTTTATTTACTCTGCCAGGTTGTTTATTATTCCTACATCTACTCTTAGGAGTTAAAGATATTTTCTACTCTGCTACTTCACTGAAGACTACTGCTCTTATTTTAAAGATATTTTCTACTCTGCTACTTCACTGAAGACTACTGCTCTTATTTTAAAGATATTTTCTACTCTGCTACTTCACTGAAGACTACTGCTCTTATTGAGAAGCTTTCTTCTTACAAGTATTCTTCCAGATTCCATTAGTTTCTCCTTCTCTTCGCCATGTTCGGACTAGGGCTGGACGTCCCTGATGTTACTAACCAGAGGGCACGGCACTATTCTTTGCTGTTTTTTCTTAAACCTGTGACAACAGCCTCTTTATTGAACTCCCTCAATTTCTCCATCTGAGGGTAACATGTTTTCTGATTACACCCCAAATGTAGAAAATGGCAAAAAAAAAAAAAAAAACCATAACTATGATACATTAAATGCTAGGTATGTGATTTTACAAGATTTTACAAGAAACCAATCTGTCACAATCTACAATTACCTGACTTAATCCAAAATAATAATAATAATAATAGTAAGGCAGATTTAAACAGAACTGACAGAGTTTCAGAGCTGGGAAGGCTATAAAAGTTATTCATTGCAATGGTCCAGATGTAATTACTTTTCTCTAAGATCATTAGATGAATGATCTCCCTATTTGTAGCACATTCTGCTCTGTGGGTCTCTTCAAGGCACTTACTCCGAGTAAGTGATCGCAAAGAGCAGGAGCTGGACCAGACCACATTTTACCCAGAGTTTCACAATTCCCGTTTACTTACTGACAACATGCAAGTGTGTAAGATGTGCTATTGTGCACCTGAAAACAAAGAGAAAGGCATTCAGAGATTTTGAAATAAGAAGCTATGGGTCATTTCTGTAATGAAAAAACTGAAAATATTTCTAGCATGTTTTATATAGCAGAACATCATAATAGGCTTGGTAAATTTTAAAAATACTCAGCAACAGCTTAGGAATTGGGATAGATGCCTGACTACACATGTCAGCCTAAGTCAAGTATTAAAAACTGGCCCTCATAACATGTCACTACCACAACATTTTAGTTCTTCTGTACTCACTTTCAACAAATTACCAAAATCACAATTAATTTACTTAAGTATGTTTTCCTAGAAAAATCCTACATCTTCTGTGTATACTTACTGAGAAAATATATTAAAAAATATAAAAAACCCACATTATTATATTGCAAGTTTTAATTTTATTTTTTAACCAGACCTTGCAGAGTTTTTATCTATTTACTCAGACTTATCTCCAGAACAGTTGTAAAGTGAATCAAATATATGTAGGGCAACTGCTCTTCAAAAAACACCAAGTGCTAACAGATCAAAGCAGTAAAGTTGTTAACTCTTCATAAACCTAGAAAATGTATCTATTGATGGAAATTCTGCAATATCCATCCAACTTCCCTAAATTGCTCTCTAATCTGTTCCTTTTATATTCAACAATAAATCAAACAATAATAACAATATGCCATAGTCATTTATCTTATTTTCTTTGTTACTGAGTCTTAAAGAATAAGGTCAATTATTAGAAATGTAAATTATTTGTTTGTGCCTTTCAGTTCTTTTGATGTTAAATCCGAATAGATATTCCACATAAGAAATATGCTAACTGATAATTAGAAAGTTGACATTTTAATAGGTTTATATTTAACTCCTTTATTGTTTTTGGATAAATATAGAATTGACTATTTTTCCTATAATTATTATATGGAAAATTTTCTATTCATTTTTCTCCTCTGTACATAATAGAGAAAAATATTTTGCTTTGAAAAACTTTTCCTAACACATTTTGTCTTGTATTTGTTTCAGGCCTCAAATTGCACTTGAGAACAAAGAAATCACATACTTGGCACACAGGAAAGATGTGAAATGATTCCAAACATAAGAGTCTTCTTGTCAATATTCTGTCAATACACTCTATGGCTTGTTCATTACAAAGTATTGTTATTCTTGTTCCTAAGTATAGTTCTTTCTCTCTACAACTACATGGTGACTCTGAATATTCTAGTCTATTCATGAGTAGGCCAGATTTTAGACAATTTGATGAATGCCATTTTCTTTATAAAGGAATTGGAATGTATTTTAGAACTAAGCATTAATTTTGTAAAATATGTTAAAGAAAGGAAAAATATAATAATTGTGCCTTCAGCTTGCAGGGCAATAAATTAGAACAGTGGAAAACGAATGCAGTTGCTTGCAGGGCAAATGTGTACAGCGTCACTTATTTAAAAAGATACCTGGAGTAAAGAAAGTCCAAAAATGAACTAATGAGTCATTTAGAGTAAAACTCTTTATCTTTTCAGCTGAGCAGGAACACATTTTGTTCAGGTTACATTAAAAGAAATTGCTTATCTGGCAAAGCTATGAACAGTACCAGTTCTTTCAACTTCTCACCGAAGACCGTCCAGGGAATACTTTTGTGCTCTGCACATTTTCATATCCAAAGTGAAATGAATTGTGTTACAGTTTACAACACATTTCCCTAAGCTGTCAAGTTTGAAGTAGTCTGCCTTTGAATAAGGCTCATCTAAAAACGTAAGCTCCTGCAGCCCTGAGGCCTTCTGGATGATGTAAGTTTAGAAATTTTAGAATCGAGTGAAATAGAAAAAAGAAACAAAGCAAAGAACACTTCCTAGTGAGAGTGCTATTGCATGGCTAAACCAGGGAAGAAAAATCTGATGCTTGGTTTGCTTGTTTATCCTGATTCCTATCTTTTTGGTATATCTGCATGATTCCATAAATACCTAAAGGAAATATTTTCTAATTTGTATCCCAGGAAGTGAAAAATAATGTATCTTTGTAAACTGTGACCATAATGTGGGATCTCGTGGATAGAAGACCTACCTGGATTGTTGGAGGCCTCTAGCCTTACAACATCTGGAAAAAACAATTTTAAGGGCTGAATGTCCTTTTCCCTCATTGATAAAGTTGGCTGAGTCATAATTGTAATGGTAGGCTGGGCGCCACCTGTTTGCTCATCTGCTTCAAAGTACCAAGGTGGCAGTGCCAGCTTTGGATTGCAGGATATCTTAGAGGTTTTATGATCAATAAACTCAGAGAAAAAGCTGGGGTGCATACATAATAATTTTGAACTTTTTCTTTAATAAGGAATATAGACTGGAAGAAACTTTCTGACCAGTTTCTCTGATGCTCTCCTGGCCTTTTTAATTTTTTTCTTTTTTCCTTTTTTTTTTGAGACAGAGTCTTACTCTGTCACCCAGGCTGGAGCACAGTGGCATGATCTCAGCTCATTGCAACCTCCACTTCCCAGGTTCAAGTGATTCTCATGCCTCAGCTTCCTGAGTAGCTGGGATTACAGATGCCTGCCACCACACCCAGCTAATTTTTTGTATTTTTAGTAGAGATGGGGTTTTGCTATGTTGGCCACAGTGGTCTTGAACTCCTGACCTAAGGTGATCCACCCATATCAGGTGATCCACCCACCACAGCCTCCCAAAGCACTGGGATTACAGGCATGAGCCACTGTGCCCAGCCTGATGATTTCCTGGACTTTTTTTTATTGCAACTAAAATATCTATGTAGGAGATACTTTTTCTCTTAACAGTTTCTAAAACGTTCACTCAGAGAGACAGCCTTTGGCTTATTTCCAGTCTGAATTGGTACAAGAGATTCTGGAGAGGGGCAGGAATATAAAGAGTGTGGTCTATAGGAATATTTTAAGGCAACATTGTATTAATTAAATTTGGGCAAAAAAGCATTCCTAGAAATTACAAGTATGCAAAAGGCTGTTTTATAAGGGTAAACATAAATATTATTGTCTAAAGTGAGACTCATGTGAAAAGAGACACTGATACATAGATATATAATTTATTTCTTCACACAATGATTCTATTATATACGGGGTATTAACAAAATATTTCCATTTAAATATAATTTTAAGAATAAATTTTTTTCATAAAAATCAAAATATATTCATATGCATCAAAGGAAAAATAATTCCTTATATTTATTATTTAAATGTTAAATAATATACAGACTTTGTATCAGAGTTAGGTCTATTAATCAGATTCTTAACAATATCCTTTCACTAGCATTTTTATAATAAAGGTAGTTTTTAAAAATATACTTTTGAATGTACAATATTTTAAATCATTAATGGAAATTATTCTTCTAATTAATGTATTTATTTTAATTGACAAAAAAGTATATATGGTTATGTACAGCATGATGTTTTGAAATGTGTACATTCTGAAATGTCTTAATTGAAATAATTAGCACACACATTACCTCACATACTGATTTTTTGTGGTGAGAACACATAGTCTATTCCCAGAGATTTTCAAGAATACAATGCATTGTTAATAACAACAGTCAGCATGTGTACAATAGATCTCTTGAATTTATTAAATTATTTTCAAAATTTCCAGTCTATGCTTTAAGTATTTGAAATAGTTAAAACCCTTATTTAGCTTTTTTCTTCAACTATGATATTTATTTTTAATTGAGAAAATGCTTTATCTACAAGTGCAGAGGTACTTAATAAGTACACAGAAATATCTAAGTGGAAAATATTCTCAATTCTATGTTTTCTCACTGAAATGTGCCAATATTTCAACTCAGGTATTTTTATAGATACCATTTTCTCCTATCTACGTGTGGCATTTATTTATGAAAATACTTTTATAACCGAAACTTGTTAAATTACTTGCTCCTATTGAAGTTTTTTGCAATTATTTGCTTCATTTAGATGCTGCAAAATTATAGACCAATTAATTTTATTCCATTGAAGTTGAAATTGAAAATTTATATAAACAAAACTATGAACTCAATCAAATATTATTACTAACTTCAAGAAATGCCCAAGTACAAGTAACAAAATTAAATATTAAATTTTGTTTTTGTATACCACTTGAGCTCCCACTACTTATTATTTTTCTGTTCTTTCTTTTGAAATAAAAATAAACTTAAAAATTCTCCTTTTTGCAATTTTTGTTGCCAAAAATTATAGAGGCATTCTAAGAAATGTTTTCAAGTGAAAACTTTCAACACTTTCGAAGTAATTTTAAGATATACCATTACAATAGATGCAAAGCAAGTGCATAACGCTCAGTGACTTACAAGGTAATTATTAAAAGCCTCAAGCCTTTCTAGAATCTGATTAATAATGGAGATCAAAGAACATGTATACTGTTTTGTTGAATATTTTTTTCACATTCAGTATCAGCTTCATCACACAATTTTGTAACTTAATTACTCTATTTATATCTACATAAACATTTGTCAATTACTCTATCAAATTACAGCTTTTTTATTGAACAGTGCAGCTTCTTTGGAGACATTATTTGTGATGTATGAATGTTTCCAAGTATATTTTGTTTCCAAACTTTTTTAATTTGGTGAGAATATTATTTTTACCATGATTATGTTCTATCAAAATGCATATGTTGTGATGATCATTGCAAAAAAAAAAATAAACTTTAATGGTTAATTTTTAAACCGAATTTATACTACTAGTCACAATAACATAAGACCTTTTACCTTTAAATTATTTTAATTTCATTAGTTGACTGAAAAATCTGACCTCTTCTTAAAATTAACTTAACTGATTAATTTAGCTGATTTGGATTTTTTAACTCTGCAAAATTCACCTCAAATTCAAAATGGAATTATTGTAGTAAGAGTTATAACTTCATTTTACATATTTGCAAAAAAAGAATAAAAAATGAATAATGTTAAATTAGAAAAAAATAATTTAATATAAATGAAAAGTCATGCTTATGGAATGATGTGTAAATACACTTTTTGAAGCTCAGGAAGTAAATTGCCAGCTTTGAAAAAGCCTTCTTAAATAACCACTAACCTTTTTTGTTTTTGTTTTTGTGACAGAGTCTCACTTTGTCACCCAGGCTGGAGTGCAAAGGTGCGATCTTGGCTCACTGCAACCTCCGCCTCACGGGTTCAAGTGATTCTCCTGCCTCAGCCTCCCGAGTAGCTGGGATTACAGTCTCCCGCCACTACACCCAGCTAATTTTTTTATTTTTAGTAGAGACAAATTTTCACCATGAGTCCGGCTGGTCTCGAACTTCTCACCTCAGGTGATCCACCCGCCTCGGCCTCCCAAAGTTCTGGGATTACAGGCTGGGATTACAGGCATGAGTTGCCGTGCCTGCAATAACCACTAACTTTTCAAGAGAATGATATTACACAATCCTTTCTTCTAGTTCTTACATAGTCAATGATATCATTGTGGTCTCCTTGGCTGGGTGATAATTGTCAACATTCTGTGCGAGTTACATTTTCATTAATATTATTTTAATTTATATATATTTAAGATATACAACATGATATTTGATGTACATGGAGGAGCTTCAAAAAGTTCATAGAAAAAATCAAATTAATAGATAAAACCAAAACATATACAATTCATTTCTCAACATATGCTGTATCAACTTCAAGCCCATTTTTGTAAGCAATAAGACCAGTCATTTAGTCCATTTCTATAGAACTGAAGTTTCTAGGAATTTAACCAGATCTGTGTGGTTGGTTGGTTGGTTGGTTGGTTGGTTGGTTTGTTTTAATTAACTGAAGGAAATGAGTGCCCTTTACAGATTTTTTTTTTAAGATTAGGAAACAAAAGAGCCAAACCTAAGCTGTAAGGTGGATGCCTTATGATTTCTCATTGGAACTCCTGCAAAATTGCCCTCGTATGGTAAGAGAAATGAGCAAGAGCCTTGTGGTGGTGAAGAAGGATTCTCTGGTGAAGCTTTCCAGTAATTTTTTCTACTCAAGCTTTGGCTAACTTTCTCAGAACACTCTCATAATGAGCAGATGTTACTGTTCTTTGGCCCTCCTTACAGTCAACAAGCATAATGCCTTGAGCACCCCCCAAAAAAAACTGTTGCTATGACCTTTGCTCTTGACTGGTCTGCTTTTGCTTTAACTGGACTGCTTTCGCTGCTTCTGGCCGCTCTCAGTAGCCATTGCTTGGATTGTATCTTGTCTTCAGAATCATATCTATAAAGTCATGTTACAATTATTCGAAGAAATGCTTTAGGATCTTGACCTCACTTGTTTAAAATTTCCATTGAAAGCTCTGTTTTTATTTGCAGCTGATCTAGTTGCAACAGTTTTGGCACACATTGAGTGGAAACTTTGCTCAACTTAGATTTTTCAGTAAGAATTGTGTAAGCTGAACCAAAGAGATGTCATTGGTGCTGGCTATTGTTTGTGCTATTAATCATTGGTCCTCCTCAATTAGGGCACAAATAAGATTTTTTTTTTCTTACAAATCAGTGTGGGTGGTCTGCCACTGCAGACTTCGTCTTCAGCAACATCTCATTCCTTCTTAAAACAAGTTATTCATTTGTAAACTGCTGATTTCTTTGGGACATTGTCCCCATAAACTTTTCATTAAACATCAATGTTTTCACTGTTCTTCCACCCAAGCTTCATCATAAATTTGATGCTTATTCTTGCTTCAATTTTAGCAGAATTCATGTTGCTCTGTTAGTGACACTTTTCAAACTGATGTCTTATTTTTCTTAGTGCCTCAATTAGAGCCTCTTCAGATATGGTATAACAAGTTAGCATCAGTTTATTTTGGTGCTGCAAAAGAAATGAAATTAATGCATACTTTTTCATGATATGCATTTTCTATGAACTTTTAAAGATCTATGATACACAATGAAATGATATCTATAATCAGGCAAATTAATATATCCGTCACTTAACACAGTTCACTTTGTGTTTGTGTGGTAAGAGCACCTAAAGTCTAACCTTTCTTTACATTTTCAATATAGAATATGGGGGTCGGTGCAAAAGTAATTGCAGTTTTTGCCATTAAAAGTGCAAATTACCTTTGCACCAACTTAATATTAACTATAGTTCTCATGCCTGCACAGTAGATCTCTAGGCTTATTCATCCTACATAACTGCAACTTTATACTTTTTGACCTACATTTCCCCATTTGCCCCCGCTCCATACCCCTGGTAATGACTATTCTGCAGTCTGTTTCTACGTATTTGACTTTTTAGAAAGTTCCACATATAGGTAAGATCATGAAATATTTTTCTCTCTGTGGCTTCTTATTTCACTTAACATTATGCCCCCCAGGTTTATCCATGTTGTCCCAAATGGCATATTCTCCTTTTTTTTTAAGGTTGAATATTTCATTGTATACCATGATTTCCTTACCCATTCAATTATTAACAGACACCTAGGTTATTTCCATATCTTGATTATTGTTGAATAATGTTGCAATAAACATGGGAACATGTTGAATAATGTTGCAATAAATATATTGAATAATGTTGCAATAAACATGGTAACATGGAAACTCTACAAGGTGATAATTTTATTTCTTTTGGGTATATATTCCAAATAAGGATTGCTGGGTAACATGGTAGTTCTATTTTTAATTTTTTGAGAATCATCCATACTGCTTTCCATAATGGCTATGCCAATTTATATCCCCCCAACAGTGGATAATGATTGCCTTTTCTCCATATCCTTACCGACACTTATCTCTTGTCTTTTTGATGACAATCATCCTAATTGGCTATATGGTGATAGTTCATTGTGTTTTTGATTTGCTTTCCACGATGATTAGCAACTATTTAATATAGCTGATGGCCACTTGTGTGTCTTCTTTGGAAAAATGTCTATTCAAGTCTTTTGCCCATAATAATTTAGTTGTTATTTATTTATGTTATTGAATTGTATGAGTTTTGTATATATTTTGGAAATTAACTTCTTATCAAATATTTGGTTTGTAAATATTTTTTTCCCAATCAATAAGTTGCTTTTTCATGTTGTTGATTGTTTCATTTGCTGTGTAGAAGCTTTTTAGTTTAATATAGTCCTACTTGTTTATTTTGCTTTTATTTGTATATTTTTATAATATTCTTGATTAATAGAAATTCAGTTAATCAATAAATTCAGTATTTTTTTTTGTTAACACAAGGTTTCAGTTTTTAGTTTGCTAATGTAAAACCTGTTTTAACAGAATAAAAAGCATTACCAAACAATCAAATGAATACATTATTTTGGTTTTACTACTTTTTACCTTGCTATAAATTTCAAAATCCCAGTAGTTGCCTTGCAATAAATTGCAAAACCCCAGTAGTCAGGTATTCAGACCATGCCTTTTTCTAAGGCAGGGATGCTCATCCTGTCGCTTGAATTCGTTTCACTTAGACCTAATCTATTATTTTCCATCATTTTTCATTCTTTCAAAAGACTGGAAGCCTGGGAATCAGGGACCTAACAGATTTCCACTATAAGAAAGGCACTACTGCTTGTTACACCAAGCAGCCCCCGACACAGTCTAGACTACTTCTCTCACCACCAAAGAAGATTAGAAATAGCTGGTTATCTCACCCCAGTCCTGTTCAAGAACACTTTATTCTACCTGTGTGTCCTCTGAATTTTGCCCTTTAAAGTAAGATGTTAATTAAAATCTGTCTAGAAAGGGTCAAAAAAAGACAGGTGACCTCTTGTTGTCTTTCAGGTTTTGCCACATGTTCAAGTATGAAAGTTGTTCATTGCACGTGCATCTCAATAATACTAGAAAGGAAACTTGTACAAACTAGCAGAAAAAATATAGGGAGTTAGGCCAAGCATAGCCAGGCTTATTTTAATGCAACCATTAATTAATTTATTTTTTAATCATTTTTACTTTATTTGTAGAGACTGAGTTTTGCCATGTGGTCCAGGCTCGTCTCAAACTCCTGGGCTTAAGTGATCCCCCCACCTTGGCCTCCTAAAGTGCTAGAATTATAGGTATAAGCCACCATGCCCAGCCACACTATTAATAATAATACATTAAAATATAAAATTCTGGCACAAAACCTAAAGTGGATGTGGTTCTTGGCCAACAGGCCAAACTCAGATATATACAACACTAACTATAGGATAAAATGATAATGGACATTTTAGTTTAAAAAGAAAAAAAATGTACAAATGCACAATTGTGGGTTCAGGTGACTAGAACTATGTAAATAACCAAGTTAAAAGAATGGTAATTTATTTTTTAAACAAGACTATCAATGAAAACCCTTTAGTTAAGGTCATTGTTACCTCAGAAGCTCCGAAGATCTCAGTTGCTGTCTAAGCCCCATAAATTATCCCCCTCTCAAGGAGGCAGAACTATTTGACCAAGACATTTGCTGAGTTTGCATAGATCTTCTTGCAGATTCAGTTTTAAACCTCAGTAACTTTTATATCTTCAATCATAGAGCATGGCCACACTCTTTTTTTTTTTTAAAGCAAAATGAACATGTAAATATGTACAGACATAGCTTTAGGCTCAAAGTCTTTATAAAGAAATATAGACATAAGTTAATGAAATAGCATGAAGTAGAAGCAATTTATGGCATGAAATAAAGTCAGGATTGTGTACAGCTGGAGAAATGTGAAGTGGGTAGAAGTCAGAATTTCTGAAAAGAGGCAGAGTAAAAGAGTCTGGGGAAAGAGCATCTGGCATTGGAAGGTAAATCACTATCCACCATCATACAATAAATGCAATCAAATGAGAAATGTTATTTTTATTTGATTTAACGAGGATATTTGTGCTGCACTCCATGGGTGCAATGATGTGAGGAGAATACAGAAGATTCACTCAGTAGTAACAATTTCAGCTCTGCATAGACAGATGTGCCCCAGCCTGTTTATCACTGTGACTTTCTTCAGCTATTTTGGAAAATAATTTACACTGGTCTGTGGAATGATTAGCCTGCCAAAGATAACTTATATTAAAGGAGGCTTTTTTCCCTGCTTTGATAGAGAAAATGCACAAGTATTAAATATAAATGTGGCGTTCAGATGTGTAGCCAAATTCTGTTATCTGAGGAGAGTGGTATGGAGGATTAGGTGTGGCGAGTCTGGGGTGAAGCCCTCCCATTTATTGGTGAGTTAACAGGAGGGGGAGCACGCCATGTTCACTTTCTCTATTTGTCATACTTGTCTCACAGTCTTGCTTCACACTGTGACCACTAATGTCTTCCAGTAACAGTGCTAATAACTGTAATGTCAACATATCCTCTTTAAGGATGATGAAGTGGCTATGAATATGAAGAAAGTATTCAGAGAAAGCAATTGCATCAGCTGCTCCCTGCTCACCTACCCTTCTGGTTGTGTTCAGCACATTAAGGGAAAGACAGAGACAGTGATAGTCAGGAATGCTTCTTATGTCCATCATGCCTGACCTTATTATTTTTGAATATGTAGATGGAAAATTATGCTTGAGCTGAAAATTATCCCTCAGGTCTATTACTGCTGAATGGAAAATATTTCTCACTGCCTTTATTTCACAGATGAGCCATCTGAAATTTTTTAGCATGAATAGCAAGGAGTCCACTTAGATAGATACTTAAACACATGGTAGCTAGCTAGCTAGATAGACAGACAGACAGATGGATGACACATGTATGTAGGTGCAGGGATTTTATTTTTTAAGTATATCATGGCTGCTCCAGTTTGTGTTCTTGTGTACCAGATAGACAAATATCCTAGAAAATGCTTTATACAAAACACTTAATAGGTTCCTATAGTGTGAAAGTTGTAAAGTAAGATGACTTTTCTAGATTTATTAAGCCGATTTGTTAAAGCTGGGTTTAGCTTTTTGTGGCTTAAAGCATGCTTAGGAGCAGAGGCTGTTAAACAATATTTCCATTTCAGTGCATGGTAACATTCTCCATCCAGCCATGCAGGTGAGACCTCAGGACCTCAGGAGGACTTCTCCATCATCGCCAAATCAAGTTTATTTATAAATTATCTATTGGTCTTCCTATGCCCCTCACATTGTCACTGGAAACTTGGAATCTCTCTTGCTTTAACATAGAGCAATTTATTCTCTACTTCATTCATAGCCTCAAAAGTTCATAGTTCAAAAATTCACTAAGAACTTCTGATAAATAAAATCCCTACCTACTATGAAATGTATCTGTTAGAAAATCAGAAGAAAACTATCAGAAACATGTTTTATAAAAATGTATTTGACTGTTTTACTGCCTTTGTCAATAGAAAGAAGTAGCATCAAGATTTAATTTTATCCTATTTTAAATTATGTAACCATACCTTATTAAATTTTATTTCAATAGATTTTTCCTCCATATTCATTTTTTTTTGTTTTTTGTTTGTTTGTTTGTTTGTTTGTGACAGTGTCTCACTCTGTCGCCCAGGCTGGAGTGCAGTGGTGTGATCTTGGCTCACTGCAAGCTCCGCCTCCCGGGTTCATGCCATTCTCCTGCCTCAGCCTCCCGAGTAGCTGGGACTACAGCGCCCACCACCACACCTGGCTAACTTTTTTGTATTTTTAGTAGAGACGGGGTTTCACCATGTTAGCCAGGATGGTCTCGATTTCCTGACCTCGTGATCTGCTGGCCTCGGCCTCCCAAAGTACTGGGATTACAGGCGTGAGCCACCACACCCTGCCCATATTCATTCTTGAAAAATCTCATGCATACATATATGTTACATTTTCTCAAACCAAACAAGAACTTATTACTCTTTGTCAGCATGATTCGTGAATACTGTTTTTTAAGAAATGAGATTTCTCTTTTTATACATGCATGACAGATTTCAAGCATATCTAACATGAAAAGAACGAATAACTTTAATATGTGTAATTTATAATTGTTATACTTCCATTAATGTGATCTGGTATTCCTATCAAAAATCAAATGAGATGATTGCTCGTGATACAGATAAGATTCTATATGTACTGCATAAATCATAAGGAGTGCAAATAAAGGGATGGTGAGTTTAGTGTGAAAAGAAATAAAGAAAAAATAGGGAAGATCGACCAGATAAATGACTATTTGTTACTTTTATTCTTCAAGAAAACCTGCTCAATGAATAAGAATTTGAAGCTTATAAGATTTATGAAAAAGAAAGATGAATAGGGAAAGAAAACCATTCCAATATGAATTGTAGCTTAGGGAAAGCCTCAGAGATGCCAGTAAGATGAACAGTTGTAATGCTATAGAGCAGCATTGTTTTGGAAGAGACGAGCACAACTTAGCTGTAGCATGACTTAATATGATGTGTTTTGATGAGAAAGTTTGAAGGAAAATATGAAATCTATTGCCTTGAGATTCCTATCATTTTATCAGATAATAAGATGTATATAGAGGAAAAATTAGTTAAAAAAGCTAAAGATTAAGGAAAAAACGATAGGTAAATATTTTATGACTAACCTCATGCATCATCAATTACTCCAATGTTTATGGCTTCATTGCATTTTTCTGTTCAATGAATAGAAATTCACAAGTGGATTTTCCAGTTTATTCCTTAACTAGATCAAAAGCTCACAAAGAGTAGGAACTGTGTTTTTTGAAAAAGTGTTTACAAAGTAGCTCATAAAAATATGTGCAATTAATACTAAATTAATGATTTTCAGTAAAACATTGGACAAAGCTTGAAAAATTATTTTAAGATTTAATTTCCATATTTAAAATTGTATTTGAAAAATATAGCTCATCATATCTGGATAGGGCCAGATAATATACAAAGGCCTCCACAAAACAGATCAAACACAAAACAAAACTAACTGGATACCAAAGGAGAGAATTAACACCACACACAAACCTCCACCACCACCACCACCACCACCACATGCATTGTTACCATTAAGAAGCCAGCAAAGGGCCGGGTGTGGTGGCTCATGCCTGTAATCCCAGCACTTTGGGAGGCTGAGGTGGGCAGATCACGAGGTCAGGAGATCGAGACCATCCTGGCTAACACGGTGAAACCCCGTCTCTACTAAAAATACAAAAAATTAGCCGGGCATGGTGGCGGGCGCCTGTAGTCCCAGCTACTCCGGAGGCTAAGGCAGGAGAATGGCTGAACCTGGGAGGCGGGCCTTGCAGTGAGCCAAGATCGCACCACTGCACTCCAGCCTGGGCGACAGAGTGAGACACTGTCTCAAAAAGAAAAAAAAAAAGCCAGCAAAAAGAAACAATAATACCAAATCAACTTGGAATCACTAACCAAATATTTCTGATGACAGCAAAACCTATACATTAAGAACATTTCTTTCAGATGTCCTTGGGTCTGCATATCTGTGACATAGTACAACCCCATATTCACATAGTTATCACTTCCTTTTACAGTTTAGTCTGCTCAGATCTGTTATGATGTTTCAGTTAGTTCAACCACAAATTAATTAACTATCAATCGAGAATCCTTAACCAAAGGAGAAAAAAATCATCATTAGGTTATCATTTAAATATCCTAGTTTAAAAATAGTCCTCAGTATTCAAGGAAATTATCAGTACTATATTTTTAACCTTAATCTAAAATTGAGAACAAAATTAAAAATATATATATATTAAAAAGCCAGCCAGGCATAGTGGCTCACATCTATAATCCCAGGGCTTTGGGAAGCTAAAGTGGGAGAATTGTTTGAAGCCAGGAGTTTAAGGCCAGCCTGAACAACATAGTGAGACCCTTTCTCTATAAAAAATAAAAATGAACAGTTATCTGGACATGGTAGTGTGTGTGGGTTGTCCCAGCTACTTGAGAAACTGATGCAAAAGTATTGCTTGAGACTCAGGTTTTGAGGCTACAGTGACCTATGATTGTTCCATTGCACTCCAGTTGAGCAATACAGCAAGACCCTATCTATAAAAATTAAAAAAAAAATTAAAAGCCTTTTAGTTTTACTTTCTAAAGTCAATTTACATATTTGGAAATTTATAATGTCTGACAATCAGCTATAAATCTTATAAAAATGTATTTATTAATTAGTTTACTAATGTATTAATGGATATTTTGTACTTCAGTTTTTATTTCAAGATAAGGTCTGATGCATTAAAAGGCAAATATTGTATTTTGAGTATATACTATATTTTAAGTATATAAAATGACAAAAGATGCAGAGAGATCTGTGATTTGGATACTAAATAGCAGGGAGTTTAAAGAAACAACATTGAACATGGGAGTCTTTTCCATAAGCAATAATACAAACTTTATGTAGAGAATATAAAAATTTATTGATCAAAGTGAAAGAATTGGAAAAAACAAATACTTCACAGATTAAAATTTTAGGAGTAATCACAATGTTAACGCTTTAGGAATTAGATATAAATAATAAAATATCTGTCAAAGAGGAATAATTACTAAAATGAAGCATTAGGTAATAATAGAAGAATATTCTCAAAGAAGGCTACATGGAAAAACGATAAGGGTCAAGAAAGTAAAAAAGAAGGATGCCAAGAACATTTATGTACATAGATGCCAACAACTATGAGTGCCTTGAAGTGGGAGAAGATTATGAAACAATCTTTAATTTAAAAAAGGGAGGAAACATCACCTATATACTATTCTTGCCAAAGATATTTAATCTGTACAAAATCATGAGGAAAATAAAAAAATAAATTAAGAGACTTTTGAAAAACAAATAAACAAAAGTTATCTAAACTCTTCAAAAATGTCATTCAATGATACTAAAGACAAAGGAAGATGGTGACAATGTTCTAGATTAAAGAAAATTAAAAAGGCAAAACAACTACATTTTACCCATAAAATATGATTATCTCATGGATCAAAGAAAACAATAATCAAGAATGCGTTTGGGAAAATTGTAGAAATTTAAATGGGGACAGAATATTATATAATAATATTGAGAGCTGAAGCCAGTTAGACTTCTGGGTGGGTGGGGAGGGGACTCAGAGAAGTTTTTTGTCTTACAAGAGGAATGTAAAATGCACCAATCAGCACTCTGTAGCTAGGATTGTAAAACACACCAATCAGCGCTCTGTGGCTAGCTAGAGGTTTATAAAATGGACCAATCAGCACTCTGTAAAATGGACCAATCAGTGCTCTGTAAAATGGACCAATCAGCACTCTGTAAGATGGACCAATCAGCAGGACTTTGGCAGGGTCAAATAAGGGAATAAACGCTGGCCACTGCAGCCAGCAGTGGCAACCCTGTAGGGTCCCCTTCCATGATGTGGAAGCTTTGTTCTGCTCTTCACAATAAATCTTGCTGCTACTGACTCTTTGGGTTTGTGCCATCTTTTAAGAGCTGTAACACTCACTGTGGAGGTCCATGGCTCCAGCGAGACCACGAACCCACCGGAAGGAACCTACTCTGGACGCAATACAGCAATAGTAAATTTTCTGGCAACCATAATGGGATAGGCAATAGATTTCTTGAGTGTGATAATTTTATTAAAGTTTTGTAAAATAATTTACTTGATTTAAGGAAATAAATGCTATTTTTTAACAGTGTTATAATGTGTGCCACTTTCAAATAGTTCCATAAAGACCTATGTAAATCAATCTATCCATCGATTTACCAACCTATCATTTATCTATGTGTTAGTCTAGACAGTGTGACTACATCTATTGTTTATGTATCTTATCTATCTAGCTATGTATAGAGTTATCACCTCCCATATACTCAGACAGAAATAAAGTGAATGTGGCAAAATATTAAGTGGTCAATCTAAGTACAGAGCATGTGGGTGTTTATTGAAGCATTCTTTGAAATTTTCTGTACATTTGAAAAGCAAAAATCTGGAAAAAAGGAAATATACAACTGAAAGAAGAGTTCATTAAAAACAGAAAATAACAACATAAAAGAATAATTAGAATCACTTAAGATGAATTTTAAGAAGGCTTTAGTTTACTACTTAAGAAGCCAAAAATAAATTCAGTTCTTTAAAGAGTTGATATTGCCTATCAATTTTTCATACAGACCTCCTCTCCTAGAGTTATAAAATATTTCTTCCTACTGATAATAGGTACTGCTCTCAGAACAGCCGAATCAGTCAGCTTAATTATTCAATTATGGATTCCTTTCATGGAGCATGTAACACCTCCCTTTATTGAGGCATTTCCAATTTTAAAAGTCTTGAATATTAGAAATCTGTATAAGCTCATTGGCTGCTTCTTGACTCATCTCAAACTTGTTCGAGACTAAAACTATAAGAGAGCTTGCTAGGGTTTGAATACTCATTCAAAAACAGAAGACAGGCATTTTTGTACACTGGTTTTCTCTTTGTTTGGCTGGAAATATCATTCTTTTAATTGATTAAATAATTGTCCTGGCGCAGTGGCTCATTCCTGTAATCCCAGCACTTTGGGAGGCTGAGGCAGGTGGATCACGAGGTCAGTAGGTCAAGACCATGCTGGCTAACACAGTGAAACCCTATCTCTACTAAAAATACAAAAAATTAGCCGGGCGTGGTGGCACCTGCCTGTAGTCCCAGCTACTCGGGAGGCGGAGGAAGAATTGCTTGAACCTAGGAGGCAGAGGTTGTAGTGAGCCGAGATCATGCCACTGCACTCCAGACTGGGCTACCGAGCGAGACTCCGTCTCAGAAAAAATAAAAATAAAAATAAAATCACTTCTCATTTTTCTTTTCCTGTCTAGAGTGCTAATACATGGGTAAAATATCTTTTGTGAACACTGAGGTCCATATATGAAAGAGGGAATACTGGAAATTAAGGTGATGAGAACAAGACAAAGGCTTAAGATACATTTACTAAGTAAAAAGCAAGAATATTGAATTTTCCTTAACTCCAAGTTAACTATTGATAGTAGTTCTACCATAAAGATATTCTTTTAGGTATCCTTAAGTCAGCTGGGTACCTCTTGCCACTCCTGATTAAAAGGAACCTCCCAGTCTGGGCGCGGTAGCTCACGTCTGTAATCTCAGCACGTTGGGAAGCCGGGCGGGGGGCGGGGGTGCAGATCACCTGAGGTCGGGAGTTCGAGACCAGCCTGATCAACATGGTGAAACCCCATCTCTACTAGAAATACAAAATTGGTGGGCGTGGTGGTGCATGCCTGTAATCCCAGCTACTCAGGAGGCTAAGGCAAGGGAATTGCTTGAATCCAGGAGGCGGAGGTTGCAGTGAGCCAAGATCGCGCCATTGCACCCAAGCCTGGACAACAAGAGTGAAACTCTGTCTCAAAAAAAAAAAAAAAGGAACCTTCCAGGGGAAATGTTCCTAGTCTTCAGAATAATTATAATGCTAATTAGTAAGTTAACTGATGAATGCTGCGAAAGAATATTTTTCTACTGCCCTAGTTAGCTTGGGATCTGCTCTCATTTTATGTGTTCAATAATGCTTCCTGTCTTTCCATGTATGTTAAAAATTGTGGTCCATATGACGGATGTGTGAGGTGGTAGGCTATCACTATTGTTTTGGGGATTCTTTTCTATTTTCATAAAAAATATCAAAGCCCCTAAACTCCTACATTTATCTTCAGTATATGGATACTCCTGAAAGGTAGATCTCTTTGCAAATGAAAAAACAGCTTTTTCTAAACTTCAAGCACTACAATGCTCTCAAGGGACACCGATTATTTGTAAAGTATAGTAATTTACAGAGCATCCCCATTTGATCTTTCTCTTTTTTTGAGATGAAGTCTCGCTCTTCTCCGCCAGGCTGGAGTGTAATGGTGCAATCTCAGCTCACTGCAACCTCCGCCTCCCAGGTTCAAGCAATTCTCCTGCCTCAGCCTCCTGAGTAGCTAGGATTACAGGCGCCTGCCACCATGCCAGGCTAATTTTTGTATTTTTAGTAGAGATGGGGTTTGACCGTTTTGGCCAGGCTGGTCTCGAACTCCTGACCTCAGGTGATCTGCCCGCCTCGGCCTCCCAAAATGCTGGGATTATAGGCATGAACTACTGCACCTGGCCCCAATTTGATCTTTCAAATCCAAATTTTAAGGAGTCCTGGACTCCTTAAAGAGTAAGTGTGTTTTGTCACAGGGAGTGATTCATATTATAAGCCAGGTTGACTTGCTCAATTTTAACATTAAGAGGACAGATCAGTTCTAAAATAGCAGTATTTATTTATATTAGCCCTCAAGAGGAAACAACCAAAATGTTTCATCAAATGAAACAAAATGTGGTATAACCATACAACGGCATGTTATTCAGCAATAAAAATAAATGAAATACTTATAGTGATACAACATAGACAAACCTTTAAAAACATGCTAATTTACAGGAGCCTGTCACAAAAGACCATAATTGTATGATTCCATTTATATGAAATGTCCGGAACAGGCAAATCTATAGAAACAGAAAGTAAACTGATCTTTACCTAAGGCTGGTGGGAAATGGGGAGTGGCTGATGATGGTTTCAGGATTTCCTTACGGGGTGATGGAAATGCTTATTGTTGTGACTGTTGCACAATTTTGTAAATACATTAAAAACCAGTGAATTATACACTTCAAGTGGGTGAATTACATGGCATGTGAATTATATTGTAATAGGGCTATTTTTTAAAAAATAAAATAACTTGGTTCAAGGTAATTGTGTATCAAAACTTTTTCCTGACATTGTGTAAATTCAGAGAAAGTGAAAGACCAGGATAAATCTAAGTAAACGATTGTTTAGATAAAGTATGACTGTAGTATGAAAAATGCTTGCTATGATGGATATTTGAGAAATTTCTTTTTGAGTTTGTTTATGTAAGCAGTGGTCAAATACATATTTAATTTCTCAAATAAAACACACTAACGAAAAGGTCCTATAATATGTGGCAAACATCATATTCCTGATTACAGTTAATCAGCTTTCTGACAGTCTGTGGGAATTAAATGTTGCAAAGCTGTAGTACATTATCAGGAATTCCTTACAGCCCAGTCTTATGTTAACACTTCACTTTCTCCCCTTTAAAAGTCATTTTTATTAACAACAAAATTCCTTCCTTGTGATATAAGATTTTTTCTTTTTTGTTACTTTTCTGATTATTTTTAAGGACAAGACTTCCAATTTCTTCTAACTTTATGATTCTCATAAAAATAAATCTCATTTATTCTGTTTTTTAATCCTAAGGATAACTTTAGCTGTTATTCTAAGATACTATTTCTAAGCATAGTGCTTTGGGTTTTGATAAATAACCCAAGCTATACAGAGAACATTCAGATGGATTAAAAGTGAAGAAATAAGAAAAAGCAAGCCAAATAGTTTTGTTTTTTTTTTTTTTCTTATCAGCAGGCTTGTCCTCTGGGAATGGCTAGTAAATCACAGATAAAAATTTTAAAATCACTTTATGACTCTCTGGGGAAGAGCTGCTGGAGGAGGGCACTAAGATTCCTGGTTAAAATTATTCCAGACAGGTCTGTGGAATGGATGGATGATGCTCAGTTCCATTTGGTTTAAAGTTTCAAAATCTTTGCTCCAGTTAGAATCAGAATGTGTCATGACTACAAATAATTGCTAAATTTACCCTGTTATTTAAGAAACGACAAAAGAATGATTCAGCGTTAATAAGTCATTTTTTCCCAGAGGCCTCCATGAGCTATAACTGAGAAGCTCTGACTCAGACATCATAAGCCATTTTATTGCACAGCACCACAAGGTACAGCTGACACTCTATCAGATCTTGTAGTTTATAAAGAAAGCATCTTATTCCTTATATTCTTTTATCCTAATAGGAATACTCTCCAGCAAATCAAGAACCTAAGAGATGAGGAAATGGAATTTCAGGGTGTAAAGAATTCTTAAAATTGTATGTTGCCTGGGCATTCATTTTGAATACACGTTTTACTTTCTCATACCAGGGCTCAGTCACCATCGACACAGTTTCTAGTTCTATGCCACACCCAAATGACTCAAGCCACAGATAAGAACTTTAAGTCAGTGCAGGCAAATGCCTTGATGGTTCCTCACAGGAAGGATAGGCAAAAAGGGAGCCCATTCTGCCAGGGAGGAGAGATGACTCAAGTTGTGACTGAGTCTTCACTACACCCTAGTTCTTTAGGAGGCAGCCCCAGGCCAGGTTTTTCCTGGAACAGTGGGGTGGGGCTTTGGGGGGCGGTTTGAACGAGAAGAGTCAAACTTTGTAAAATACTTGAAGAGATTTATTCTGAGCCAAATATGAGTAACCTCTCAGGAGGTCATGAGAACGTGTGCCCCAGGTGGTTGGGGCGCAGCTCGGTTTTATACATTTTGGAGAGGCATGATACATCAATCAAATACAGTTAATAAATACATTGGTTTGGTACAAAAAGGCAGGACAACTCAAAGCATGGGGGCTTCCAGGCTATAGGTGAATTTAAACATTTTTGATTGACAATTGGCTGAGTTTGTCTAAAGACCTTGGATTGATAGGAAGGGGATGTTCAAGTTAAGATAAAAGGTTGTAGAGACCAAAGTTCTTTTGAAGTCTTATAATGGCTGCCCTTAGAGACAATAGATGACAAATGTTTTCTATTCAGATCTTAATTAATCTGTTTAGGATTGGGAAGGTCTAGCAGGAAAAGATCTAGCTATGTTAATGAAGATTCTCTACAGATGAAAATTTTCCCCCCACAAAGAACAGCTTTGCTGGATCATTTCAAAATATGTCAAATAAACATCTTTTGGGGCAAAATAATTTGATTTCTTCCTTGTCTCATAATGTTATGCCAGAGTCAGGTTGGAAAGTAAGTCACGATATATAGGACTAAATAAAACCCATCTGATAAGAATTTATGATTTGTAGGGCATGACTCCCCAGGACTCCTAAATAGGAATTTGGGCAAGACAAAAAATCAGAGTTTAGTTCAAAGCGGTGTACAAGGTGAGCTCTCCCATTACCAGAATGATGCTCAGACAGGAATAAACTGATCAGGGGTCAGAGAAGAGCCACAATGGCATCTGCCAGTATAAACAAGTTTTCCGTGTGAGGGGCTCTCTATCTCAGGCAGGACAACTAGGCATTAAGCCTTCTACCAGGTAAAAAAAAAAAAAAAAAAAAGGCCTCCCGTGAAAGGCTCACTGTAAACATCCACATCTGGCTCTTGTTTATTTATGATTAGGACACTGTTGCTGGCCACCCTGTTGCTCTGGTATTGGAACACCAAGTGAGCTGGGTACACTCAAAACACAGAGCTGTTGATGGTACAAGTGTTCTCAGAAGTTAGTCCTTAAATCTTTGTCTTCTGATGCTCAGCAAGGTATCTTTCATTCACTGAGGTTGTTTTCTAGAAAACAAGGTCACTTAATTCAGATGTAAAGTGATAAACTTAGTTTTAGCTGCACATATTCCAAAGCATTGAGTTTTGTTTTGAAATGAATTTGACCAAGTTTGAAAAAAAAAAATTCTTGTTTAATTATTGTTGTTTTGGATTTCTTTTGTATCTGAAACAGTTTGAAAAATAACAATGATTTATTTTTCATTCTGCAGAATATGTTGAATATTCATTTAATAAGTTGACCTCAAATTCTCCATGAAAATAGAGTCCAAATTGGATTTGGACCACGTTTTCAATTTTTGTGTCACTGCTTCTCTCAAGAAAGATCACATGGTAACATTTATTCAATAAATATTTATTTACTATTCTTCACATATGCTAGACACTGTTTAGTCCTGGATATATGATAATAGAGTAAGTGAGTCTCAGTCCTTACCAAGAGAATTTTTACTGTGCTTGCAGAAAAGGAAAAATTGAATAAGTCATATAACACATTCAAACACATTATTTTCCTTTTGGTTATGATACTGATGATCTTCAACACTCCTAAACCTATAACGAGTTCAGTAATCAATTGCCTCTGGCAAGAGAAAAGATGCAACTGACAACAAATCATATTTTGCTTGGTCTCTACTAGCTATACGTTAGAGACTACTAATTTTATCTTTGCCAAGTGAAAGCCTCAGAAGAAGACACACCTTCTGAGTACTCTACTTAGTAAGAATGAAAGTAAACATATCTAACTCAGGTAGGCTAATTTCCCTCCAGCTGGAGAAGTCTCTAATTAACAATTGACTCATAATTGTTTTCCTTATTTGCAAATTAAAGGGCAAGAATTAGGGTGTGATTAGGATGTGATTAACAAATAAAGCCAGTGACTTGTCTTAGTGCCGGAAGACAATACCTGCCACTATCTGTTCAAACAATTTAGAGGCTACTCTCATGCCACTTCCACTGCCTCCAGAAGGCTTGGGAGTGGAGTGAGAAATAGCATTTGTGTTATGGGTTAAAAGGCAAATGCGAAAGATGAAAAAAAAGTTTTCATCTGAATGAGGGTCTACGCCCCCTTAATTTTACCTTTAAGAGTAACTTTTTGCTTTTATAAAGCCTTTTTGTTAATTTGCTAGAAGTTTTCTATGGCCCTAATCTATGACAGATGCTGAGCCCCAAACAATGAATAAGGCACATCCTTTGCTTTCAAGGATCAATGGGCAGAGAATAAGATTAGAGTGCATGCCATTTATGTGTTGTGTGAGATAGCTATGGTCACCTTTTCAATTCTAAATGTATGATGTCAAATTTGTGAATAGGAAAATAATGTCATTCCATCTCTGGAAATTATTTACTTAAATTCACAATTACTAGAAAATTTAAATGCATAATTTACAAAATTCGCATGTACAACACACATATCAAGAAAACGATGTTGGCCAGGCATGGTGGCTCACACCTGTAATCCCAGGACTTTGAGAGGCCAAGATGGGTGGATCATGAGGTCAAGAGATCGAGACCATCCTGGTCAATATGGTGACCCCCATCTCTACTAAAACTACAAAAATTAGCTGGGGGTGGTGGCACGCGCCTGTAGTTCCAGCTACTCAGGAGGCTGAGGCAGGAGAATCGCTTGAACCTGGGACATGGAGGTTGCAGTGAGCCAAGATCACACCATTGAACTCCAGCCTGGCAACAGAGCGAGACTCAGTCTCAAAAAAAAAAAAATAGCATTCTTGGCATCTTGCACCTGCTCTGGTCTATAAATAAACATTTTAAATATTACAATATTACTTATCAGACATGAATTTAGTAAAATTAAAAGATAGTATTTATTTTGTGTCACTATGTGATCTATCTCTCTAAGACTGTAAGATGAAAGAAAAATATGCCTGGGTTCTGGAGCAGAAATAAATCATGGTGAGTAATCCCAAGCCATATCTTACTAGCTGTGTAACCATAGGAAGAACATTTAACTCTAGCGCTAAAATGAGATGAATACTTATTTTAGAGGAGAGACTAGTAATACAGATTAAATAATATTGTGGCAATAAATCTCCTAATATAAATCTGTTTAGTGGTAGACATTTTTGGTATGTAGAAATAGATACATATTAAAATATCTAAAACAAAGTAGCAATAATAAGGGTAAGTTTAGGTTGAAATATCCACACATATTATTTCAGCCATGTATTTTTGCCAAATACAATTTTTGTTCAGCATTTGGCATCAACAAAACGAATTAATGCATACCTGCACTAGTCTTGTCATCACCCAGGAGACAATAAGCTTAAATTTCTCTTAGGTGGGGTCTGACAACTGATGGGCTCTAGCATTTTCTGTTCTTGAAGAAGACACAAGATAGTACACTGAAGAGCATCTACTTCAATAATTCTTTTCTTGTGTGTATACAAATTTAAAAAAGAAAACAGTAATATAAATACAACTACGAAGGGTCTATAAATCATGTCTTCCCTAGATAGTCTTTTTTCTTATGGCAGTGATTGGCTGTGATGTTTTCCAGTTATATAATCCTTTGAGTTTAGAATCTGGCCATCATTTAAACAATAACTTATCTAAAACATTATTTAATCATAGAGGAGACAGAAATTTGTCCAAAAACAGGCAGGGGTGTAATTCATCCAACAATGAGTAACTCAATGATATACACACCATAGTTGAACCAATTAATATTGATCCAAATGCATTTAATCTGAGTTCAGCAATGCCAGCAATCCAATTAAGCTCAAGATTCCATAAAAGCTACATTTTATTAATCAAATGACATTTAAAGATGTTTTATTTTGTTCTTTACTTTATTTTTAAGGATGAACAGATTAGGAACTTGGAGGTTTTCCAGTAATTCAAAATATTCAATGTCAAATGAGTTGTTACCTATTGATTTTTTAAAAAGACTTAAACTCAAGCAAAGTATAACGTTTTAGAACTCACTTTGAAATAATTAAATACCATATATATTTTGCTCGAAAGAAGCAAAGACAGATGTATTTTTAAATTAATACACAATACACACAATAAGCCTAGTGAATCTCAAAAATATATTCTACAGTCTACACATTATATTTAAACTTTTAGCTTACATTTTAAACAATGATTGCAGCTTATAATATAGCTTACATTGTAAAGAAAAGTGACACAATTAACTTTATAGTATATATTATATTTAAATATAATATGTGTTAATATATAAAATATATATGTCATATATGTTGTATGTAATATATTTATTATATATTATATAAGTATTATGTAGTATATACAAATTTTAATTATATTTATATTTAATAATTTATATTTATAATTTAATAATATATAATTAACAGGTAAGTATATATTTATATATAAAATAAACATATATTTTATATAAATATAAATATACTTATATAAATTTATATGTATATATGAAATTTAAATATATTTATATTTCCTATAAATATAAATATATAAGTATATATATAATTAAAGTATATATATTTTAATTTTATATATAATATATAAATATATTAAATATATAATATATAAATATATTAAATATATAATATATAAATATATTAAATATATAATATATAATATAAATATATTATATTAATATATAATATAATTATATTATATATTATGTATATTATATTATATAATTATATATTATGTATATTATATTATATAACAATATATTATATATTATATATATTATATTATATAACAATATATTATATATTATATATTATATTATATAACAATATATTATATATTATATATTATATTACAATATATTATATATTATATATTATATTACAATATATGATATATATTATATATATATAATATATATATAATATATATATAATATATAATAAAAATATATATAAAAATATAATATAATATTATATATCTTATATATATAATATATAATAATATAATATAATATTATATATTATATTATATCTTATATATATAATATATAATAATATAATATAATATTATATATTATATTATATCTTATATATTATATATAATAATATAATATAATATTATATATTATATTATATCTTATATATTATAATATATAATAATATAATATAATATTATATATTATGTTATTATATATAATAATATATATAATATATTATATATTATATAATAAATAAAGTTATTTATTACATATTATATATATAAAATATAATATATTATATATACTTTAATATATAAAATTAAAGTATATATATTTTAATTTTACATACAATATAAATACATATATTTTAATTTATATATAAGTATATATAAAATATAAATATATAAGTATATGTATTTTAATTTTACATATAATATAAATATATATATTTTTAATTTTATATTTAAATATATACTTATCTATTAATTATGTAAATATTATTAAAAATATTAAATAACAAATTTAAATTTAATGCTGTTGCAAGTAGTTTCAAAACTTTAAGGAAACTGGATCCAAAGCCATACTGCAAAAAATTTTGCATGAGTAATCTTCATCCTTTGGGGTTACCAAAATTAAATAAATAGCCCCAAGAAGATGAATATCTAGTTGCTTAAATTGCTGAGGTCATAAAACAATAATGATATTAAACTGAGAAATATGTCTTCATTAATATAAAAGTTTAGGAAACTTTTGAGACCTGAGTCTCAGTTCCATGGCTTCTTAACTATTTTCGCGTGTTTCATTCATATCTTTTGATATAACTTTGTTTTTTTTTACTCAATTGATGGTGTATTACACTGACAAATTTTCAAATTTTACAAAATTTTGCATTCCTGGGATAGAACCGAAAGCTAGGTTTTAATTTCATTTGTTTTCTCTACTCTTTGTTTTCTCTATTATTGATTTCCCTGGTATCTTTATTATTTCTTTTCTTCTACTTACATTAGGTTTAATTTGCTCTTCTATTTTTAGCTCTTTATGGTAGATGCTGAGAAAAGAAAAATGGCTCTGAGCAGCCTCAGCTATATGAAGCCTGCAAAACTTATTAAGCCCAGAAAGATATGAGTATGGGACTTCAGTCACAGCACCCCCTCCACACACCCGCACTGGGGGTGGGGATGGGGTGTAGGAGGGTGGAGGGGTGTTAGGAACCGGAATTGTTTTAAGGCATTCTGCTCCTGACTTACCCTTTATTTTCATGTTCCTGGAGTTTGTGATACAATGTGTAACCAAACAATAGCCTATATTATTGTAATTTATATTATTTTATATTTTTTATAATATAAATTATATTATAATGTATAATGCATATTATAACATATAATATATTATAATGTATAATATAATATAAATTACATAAATATAAATTTTATTATTTTATGTTATATTTTATTTATATTATTTTAATGATGATTCTTGGTAAACAACTTAGAAACTGCCTCTCCTTTTTTTCTATAAAACCCACTTGTAATTGCTGCTAACTGAAGTGTATATTTATTGCAATTTTAATATCTGCTCCCTGGTGGCCATTCTCAAGCTTTAGACTAGAATAAACTCTATACTTAATCATATTTTCTAAATCTCATTATTTAAGGTTAACATTTTGGCAACCATGAAGGGATCTAAAGCCCAGCTTCAGTAATTCCCACTGGTTCATATCAATCAAAACCTTGATACCACCAGGTGTGGTGGCTCACACCTGTAATCCCAGCACTTTGGGAGGCTGAGGTTAGTGGAACACCTGAGCTCAGGAGTTTGAGACCGGCCTGGTCAACATTGTGAAACTCCATCTCTACTAAAAACACAAAAATTAGCCAGGTGTGGTGGTGTATGCCTGTAGTTCCTGCTACTTGGGAGGCTGAGGCAAGAGAATTGCTTGACCCCAGAAGATGGAGGTTGCAGTGAGCCAAGATGCGCCACTGCATTCCAGCCTGGGTGACAAGAGTGAGACTCCATCTCACACACACACACACACAAAAGCCTTGGTACTAGCACAAATGGCTATTTCACTCAACCTCATAGTAGCTGGCAGGGATCTCTGGAAAGGCCCCTCTTGGGATCTGAATCCAGCTGGTTTAGTTGAGAATTAAGACCTTGTTTAAGGCTGGGCATACTGCCACATACTTATAATCTTAGTACTTTGGGAGGCTGAGGTGGGTGGATCACTTGATCTTAGGAGTTTGAGACCAGCCTGGGCA
This sequence comes from Homo sapiens, assembly GCF_000001405.40. Taxonomy (NCBI): domain Eukaryota; kingdom Metazoa; phylum Chordata; class Mammalia; order Primates; family Hominidae; genus Homo; species Homo sapiens. The sequence goes on from NC_000006.12 coordinate 48,834,967, forward strand.
ACATGGCAAAACTTTGTCTCTACATCAAAAAAAAAAAAAAAAAAAAAAAAAAATGTGGTCATGTAGTCCCAGCTACTCAGGGTCAATGAAGTGAGAGGATTGCTTAAGCTCATGAGTTTGAGGCTGCAGTGAGCTGAAATCATGCCACTGCACTCCAGCTTGGGAAACAGGGTGAGATCCTGTTTCAAAAAAAAACAAAAAAACAAAAAACAAAAAAAAACAAGACTTTATTTAAGCCACACACAGTCCTACTTGATGGGGTTGAAATTAAGCTATACTGAAAGGTAGAGCTTCTCTGGAGATTCTGATCATTGCAGATTTGACACTTTTCTCTGAGATTAAACTTTTGTTTGTCTTTCTTGTTAGAGTTTTCAACCTTTCCTCTTACTCAAAATTTGGTCGGGGAAAAACACAGTTTTTCTCTAAAAAGAGGAAATAAATGTTTATGGCTTAAGTGTTAGTGGCAGTGAATCCTGTAGGTCTGTAGTGATGTCAATTCTTGCCACATCCTCAGAAGAGATTTGACTGAGGGGCGTAAAGCAGAAGGAGGGACTAAGGAGGGTTTTAGAGCAGGAGTCAAAGTTTATTAAAAAGTTTAGAGCAAGAATGAAAGGAAGTAAAGCACACTTGGAAGAGGGCCAAGAAGGCGACTTGAGAGATCAAGTGTGTGGTTTGACCTTTGACTTGTATTCTTCCAAGGTCTGCATCTCTTCTCCCTTGATTCTTCCCTTGGGTTGAGCTTTCCACATGTGCAGTGTCCTGCCTACACTTGGGAAGGGCTGTATGCACAGTGTGTTTAACCAAAGTAGTATGCATGCCCACTTAAAATGTTCTTCCTCTCCCAGTCAGATGTTCATAGAAGGTTATATACCAGTTAAACTCTGCCAATTTGCTTCTTAGTGTACATGCTTGAACCCACTTGTCCAACTCCTGATATCTTAGGAAGCTGCTGATTACCAATTTTAGGTTTTTTCTATCTATTGGGAAACTGCCTTTCCCTGGCACCAGCTGCAACCAATTATTATTTTAGAGACACAGTTAACAACAACCTGACCATCACCTGATGGTTGTCTGACTTTCCTGGTTGTGGGAGTTGGGGGTACTCTCCTGCCCTGCTCATGTCTGACCACCTACCTACTGTAACATAAGCAAACTTTGTAATCTCTTCACGTGGTCAGATTCTGAATCTTGGTTCAATTATCTAAAACTGAGTCTTCTTCCTTAAAGAGAGATCAACCATTAGAAACACGAGCTGGGTTTATGTTTAATACTTACAGCACTTCTTCAGGAAACTGTTTAGAGAACTGGTCACATATAACTTGTGATGGTTAAACGAGGTATTGTTGAAACACCTAAATTCATTTATCTGCACACACAATTAGAAAAAGCTGGTTTTAGAACCAGATATACTGAATGGGAGATTTACTTGCAACAATACTTAAATGCTTCCTCAAAAAATTCTAAAAGAAAAAAATTGCCTCCATTGAGGAGGTAAACAAAATAATATTTGAAACTATGTATAAATTAAAAGAGTTTGCAGGCTTTTTCACTTTCATTTTTAACTGCTCTTTCTCCTTCTACCACTGTGATGTGACTTCATCCCTTTCTGCTTGAACCCTTAGCTCTCAGACATCTATTAGGCAGAGATTTTTGGAATTCCACAATGCACACATTTTATTCTCAATGAAGGAAATGTATTTACATTGGGAACAGAGGGAACAAATGGAGCAATGACAGAATGACAATGAAACTACTTACATTATCAAATAGAGATCCCACAATTTTTTTTCCTCTCTAAATGAGAACTAATGAATTGATGCTGATGATATACTGACCCAATATCAGACAATACTCTTTAAATGCCCTGCTGGACTTGCCAATCCCTTGATGTAAACCTTTTCATGTCTCTGAAATGGTAACAGCCAGGGACTTAGCTAAGCAGCATGTCAGCTGAGACCAAATGTGAAACAAGTTAAAATCTTTTAAATACTCAAGCTGCCTGCCTCCAGCAGGATTTGCAGAAGCACTCCAACTTCATGGTTGCAGTCCATGTTTGATTGCTGGTTTGTTTTAAATTATTTGTCTAACTGTTGACCTGTTGGGGTACTCATTTGTAACTGACCCATTTTCTTCCCATGGACAGCTTTTGATTTCTTCTCTTTTTCTGTTTGTGGGGAATACAGGACTTTTGGGCCTTCATGCACAAGTGCTTGGCTGAGAAGTTGAGATCTTAGAAAATATGGCCAGACAGAAATGTGGGTTGTATTTTATTTGCAGCTAGCAAGACTTAGAGCTGTCTTTTAAGTGGTTCTGGATTGTCAGGCCTCTGAGCCCAAGCTAAGCCATCATATCCCCTGTGACCTGCACATATACATCCAGATGGCCTGAAGCAACAGAAGATCCACAAAAGAAGTGAAAATAGCCTTAACTGATGACATTGCATCATTGTGATTTGTTTCTGCCCCACCCTAACTGATCAATGTACTTTGTAATCTCCCCCACCCTTAAGAAGTTTCTTTGTAATCTCCCCCACCCTTAAGAAGGTTCTTTGTAATTCTCCCCACCCTTGAGAATGTACTATGTGAGATCCACCCCTGCCCCCAAAACATTGTTCCTAACTCCACTGACTATCCCCAAACCTATAAGAACTGATGATAATCCCACCACCCTTTGCTGACCCCTTTTTCAGACTCAGCAGGTCTGCACCCAGGTGAAATAAACAGCCTTGTTTCTCCCACAGAGCCTGTTGGTGGACTCTCTTCACACGGATGCACGTGACATGGATCTTGTGAGGATTGCTTTGCACCTCTTTGGAGGTGCCTATATGGGAGCCATAGGCTCTTGGCACCCTAAAGGTTTGCTGAAAAAATTACTGGCATGAGGCCAATTGATTAATAGGAGAAAAGGCATAAAAATTTATTTAACATGTATACACAGGAACCTTCAGAATGAAGACTGAAATTTCCAGTGAGTTACAGAAACTTACTCATCCTGAGCCTACGATAAAGAATGCACAAAGCATGGCCGGAAATAGGTAAATCAGGTTTAGTGGAAATGTTACAGGAAAGGGGTCCCGATCCAGACCACAGGAAAGAGTTCTTGGATCTTGCCCAAGAAAGAATTTAGGGTGAGTTCACAGTGCAAAGCAAAAGCAAGTTTATGAAGAGAGTAAAGTAGTGAAAGAACAGCTAATCCACAGACAGAGTAGGGCATTGCTGAAAGTAAGAGGAGGAACATGTCCACTAGAGGTATAGTACTTGTATATATATATAGGATTAATAAAAAAGATCTTGGGGAGATGTACTACAAGGGCTTGTGACAAAGGATTGATTTTCTTCATTACTATATTTTGCAAGAATCAATATTTTTATCTTTAAAGCAAAATTCAGAATGCCTTTGTTCTGATATTGGGATATCTGGATGCTCCCAAGTCTGGATCTGTTTAGTAAACATTATTAATTTTTCCCCTTAACTGTAAGCATCTAGATGCTAGAAATGCCTGACTTTTTGGGAATGCCACCCAGCAAGTCTCAGACTCATTTTCCTAGTCCTCACTCAAAATGGAGTCACTCTGGTTTGAATGCCTCTGATGGAAAGACAGGTTAAGAGAGAGAGAAAGGAAGAAGCTTGGCTTCAAAAATGGCCTTGTTGTATAGATGAAGACTCTCAGAGAGAATAGATGGTAAAAGTTTCTTTTCAAACTTTTAAAGTTGTCAGATTCTCAAACTCTGTGGGATTGAGGGAAAAGCATAGAAAGGAAAGGGGGCCATGGCTGCATTGATGGAGATTATCTACAGAAACAAATTTTCCCCATTTAGGACAGCTTTGCGAGGCCACTTCTGCATGCTGGCCAAGTGGCAGCCATTGACAAATGTGTCAAATAAATATATTTTGGGATAAAATATTTTAATTCTTTCACCTAGTTCAGCTTTGGTTAAGATATAACCTTGGGTAAGGCTAATTGGCTTTGATGAGTTACTTGAAAAGATACCTTTGGTTTAAAAAACAAAAAGTTGGATAAAGTGTTTATCAAAGATAAGCTCTCAGATAAAGTTGAGCTTGCTTCTTTTTCAGTGTACCATACTGAGTCCAGATATAGAAAATGCTTTCCTTGCTATTCATTAAAGGGCCCCATCCCAAAGTTAACAATAATATAATAATAATAATAATTAAATTAATTGAAAAGATTACCTATCTAACTACATTGGCCCCCAAAATAGGACTTTCTGGCATTTATCTGGCTGTTTGGAAACTCTTTGTAAAAGAAATGCACATCTATAATGTAAATTTCCATTTGTAAGGCCATCTTCCTCTCTGCAGGATGAGGGACATTGGCTTAAAGTTTATATAGCAAACCTTATCTTTGTTTAGGATTCTTTTTCCTGGAAACCATGTCTTGAGTGGACATTTAACTACACCCTTCTTTGTGTTATCAGACAATGGCATTTAGATATGAGCTCCGTGCTTCGGGGATGCAAATTTTTACCTAAGAGCCATGTCTAGAAGTGCAAATTTAGGGTTGCCTAGCTAACAATTGTTTAGGTCTTGAGAATCTAAAAGGAGGAGGTTATTTGAAAACTGACAAATAAACAACCTTATAAAACTCTCTTTCTGTGTGTCCTTATGTCTGCATTTTTTGTTTGTTTGTTTGTGTTTCTCTGTTTTTTGAGACAGAGTCTTGCTCTGTTGTCGAGGCTCTTGCCTTGCTCAGTGTGGTTTTGATATTTATGCTCAGTTTTTAGAAAAACTTAGAAATAACTCCCTTCTGAATTTAGCTAACTTGATTACACTCAAAATTTGTTTCATAAGATTAATCTTCCACAAACTTTCTACAACATGCACATATTGAACCAGCTTTGCATCCCAGGGATAAAGCCTACTTGATCATGGTGAATTTGCTTTCTGATGTGCTGCTGGATTTGGTTTGCTGATATTTTGTTGGGGAGTTTTGCATCTATGTTCATCAAGAATATTGGTCTGAAGTTTTCTTTTTTTGTGGTGTCTCTGCCAGATTTTGTATCAGAATGATGCTGGCCTCATAAAATGAGTTAGGGGGGAGTCCCTCCTCTTCAGTTTTTTAGAATCAGTTAGTTAGCAATCCTTCTATCTTATTAATTAAAAAAAAAACAATTTCTGGCATCATTGATCTTTTGTATGTTTTTTTCATGTCTAGATTTCAGCTCTGATTTCAGTTCTTGTCTTCTGCTGGCTTTAGAGTTGGTTTGCCCTTTCTTCTACAGTTCTACCAGTTGTGATATTAAGTTGTTAATTTGAGATATTTTTAATTTCTTGATGTGGATGTTTAGTGCTATAAACTTCCCTCTTGACAGTGTCTTAGCTGTGTCCCTGAGATACTGGTACATTGCAACATTGTTCTCATTAGTATCAAATAACTTCTTAATTTCTGCCTTATTTTTGTTATTTACCTAAAAGTCATTCAGGAGCAGGTTGTTTAATTTCCATGTAATGGATTGGTTTGGGATGATTTTCTTAGTATCGATTTCTATTTTAATTGCATTGTGGTCCAAGAGTGGTTCGTATAATCTTAATTTAATTTTAATTTGTTGAGGATTGTTTTATGTTTGATTGTGTGGTTGGTATAAGAGTGTGTGCCATATGGCAATGAGAAGAATGTATATTCTCTTGGTTTTGGGTGGAGAGATTTGTAGATGTTTATTAGGTTTTTTTGCTCAAGTGTTGAATTCAGATTCTGAATATCTTTGTTAATTTTCTGCCTTGATGATCTGTCTAATACTGTCAGTGGGATGCTGAATTATCCCACTATTATTATGTGTGAATTTAATTCTCTTTGTAGGTTTCTAAGAACTTGCTTAATTAATCTGAGTGATCCTGTGTTGGGTGCATATATATTTAGAATAGTAAAATCTTGTTTAATTAAAACCTTTACCATTATGTAATGCCTTTCTTTGCCTTCTTTGACCTTTGTTGGTTTAAAGTCTGTTTTGTCTGAAATTAGGATAGCAACCCCTTCCTTTGTTTTAATTTCTCATTTGCTTGGTGGAGTTTTCTCCATCCCTTGATTTTTAGCCTACGGGTGTCACTGCATATCAGATGAGTCTCTTGAAGACAGCATACTATTGAGTCATGCTTCTTTATCCAGCTTGCCATTCTTTGCTTTTTAGTTGGAGCATCTATCCCATTTATATTTAATATTAGTGTCAATATGTGCAGATTTTATCCTATCATCATGTTATTAGCTGGTTATTATGCAGACTTGTTTGTGTGATTGCATTATAGAGTCACTAGTCTGTGGGCTTAAGTGTGTTTTCTTAGTGGCTGGTGATGACCTTCTCTTTCCATATTAGTGCTCCTTTCAGGACCTCTTGTAAGGCATATCTAGTGTTAATAAATTCCCTTACCATTTGCTGAAAGGATCTTATGTCTCCATTGCTGTGGAGCTTAGTTTGGCTGGATATAAAATTCTTCGTTGCAATTTTTTTCTTCAAGAATGCTGAATATGGGCTTCTAATTTCTTCTGTCTTGTAGGGTTTCTGTAGAAAGGACTGCTCTTAGCCTAATGGGTTTCACCTTGTAGGTGCCCTGCCCCTTCTCTGTAACTGCTTTTAACATTTCCTCTTTCATTGAGACTTTGGAGAATCTGATGATTATGTGTTGTGGGGATGGTCTTCTTTTGAAGTATCTTGCTGGTGTTCTCTGCATTTCCTGAACTTAAAATTTGGTCTCTCTAGCAAAGTTGGGGAGATTTTCATGGATAATATTCTGTAATATGTTTTCCATGATGCTTGTTTTCTCCCTGTCTCTTTCAGGGACACCAATGTGTCATAGATTGAGTCTCTCTACATGATCTCATATTTCTCAGAGGTTTTGTTCTTTCTTTTTCATGCTTTTTTCTTTTTTTTTTCTGACTGAGTAATTTCAGAGTTGGTCTTCAAGCTGTGAGGTTTTTTTCCTCAGCTTGGTCTATTCTGCTATTGATACTTTCAATTGCATTATTCAATTATTGTGGTGTGTTTTTTAGCTCTCTCTGAACAGTTTTTGTTTGTTTGTTTGTTTATTTTTTGTAATGGCTATTTCATCTATTATCTCCTGTATCATTTTATTGTAATCCTTAGATTCCTTACACTAGGTGTCAACTTTCTCCTGAATCTCAATAATTTTCTTTCCTATTCATATTCTAAATTACATTTCTGTCATTTCAGCCATTACAGCCCAGTTAAGAACCCCTTCTGGGAGACTAGTGCAGTTGCATTGAGAAAAGAAAACACTCTAGCCTTTTGAGTTGGCAGAGTTTTTGCTGTTTTTTTCTCATCTGTGTGACCTGGTGTTCCTTGAACTGTGATGCAATTTGAATATAGTTAATAGATTTCTTTTCAATATGTTTTCTGAGGGCAAAGGCTTTGTGCAGCATCTTTATTTATAGCTGAATTCTTCCCCATGGTTTCACAAGGGGGTATTTGGCAGAGTATTTTTGGTGTTGGCTTTTTGGTCTTTGATCGAGTAGGTGATGTTTAAGTGAAATGACCAGTTGGTAGGCTCTTGCTCAGGCACACGGCCCCTCTGTATTTCCTCATGATTGCAACCCTGCTCCCTCTCACTTCTCTGAAAGTATGAGCTCCTATCCCTCTTGAGTGCTCGCTGCAGATGTTGGCTTGGCACTCCCAGGCTGGATATCACAGCTCTGGGGTGAGCTCAGGCTTTATGTCCCCTCCCCAGCTTGGAGGCAGCAGGGGAAAGAACCTTAGCAGTTGTTGTTGCAGAGGGCCTTTCACTTTCCTCTTGGGGCTCCACTCCAGAGAAATGCAGAGCAACCGTCAATTAGTGCAATTGGCCTGGCATGCAGCATCTGCAATGTGAGTCTAAGGGCAGGGGGGTTGGGTTGCCTGTTAATGAGCATGGGGTGGGGAGGGTATTTCAAAGAAGAGACAGACTAGCCTCTTTTCTTTAGAGCATTTGCAGCTTCCTGGAGTTGTAGTTTAAAGCACTCAAGATCTTTGCTCCTTCCCCAGTCTTATGGCAGCAAGGACAGCCCCACTACAGTGGCAGTGGGAGAGGGGCTTTTGGTTGCCTCTGGGAGCTCCTCCTCAGGGAAACTAGAAATGTTCAACTAGCAGATGGGGCAACTTCACTGCTGGCCTGAGCTGGCAGCCCTGCTTGTTGAGGAGTGAGGAATCAAGAGCTTACAGGGAGAAGAGACTAAATTCCTCTCCAGATAGTGACTGTGGCATGCTGGAAACATAGGTGAAGTCTTCAGGTACTTTGTTTCTTCCCTACACTGAGGGCAGCAGGGGCAGAACCATTGCTGTGGCAGTGGCAGAGGGGCTGTCAGTTGCCTCTGGGAGCCCTTCTCCAGGGAATCTCAGAGCCACTGATACAGGAGCTAAAAGGAAATGATTTAGGCAGTTAAGGTAAGAGAGTCCTCTGTAAGGTTTCCCTTTTAACAAAAATCAGCACCCAAATTATTATTTTTTTAATTTTTTTTATCATACTTTAAGTTCTAGGGTACATGTGCACAATGTGCAGGATTGTTACATATGTATACATGTGCCATGTTGGTGTGCTGCACCCATTAACTCATCATTTACATTAGATATTTCTCCTAGTGCTATCCCTCCCCATCCCCCACCCCACAACAGGCCCCAGTGTGTGATGTTCCCCACCCTGTGTCCAAGTGTTCTCATTGTTCAATTCCCAACTATGAGTAAGAACATGAGGTGTCTGGTTTTCTGTCCTTGTGATAGTTTGCTCAGAATGATGATTTCCAGCTTCACCCGTGTCCCTACAAAGGACATGAACTCATCCTTTTTTATGGCTACACAGTATTTCATGGTATATATGTGCCACATTTTCTTACTCCAGTCTATCATTGTTGGACATTTGGGTTGGTTCCAAGTCTTTGCTATTGTGAATAGTGCTGCATGTGTCTTTATAGTAGCATGGTTTATAATCCTTTGGGTATATACCCAGCTATGGGATTGCTGGGTCAAATGGTATTTCTAGTTCTAGATCCTTGAGGAATTGCCACACTGTCTTCCACAATGGTTGAACTAGTTTACAGTCCCACCAACAGTGTAAAAGTGTTCCGATTTCTCCACATCCTCTCCAGCACCTGTTGTTTCCTGACTTTTTAATGATCGCCATTCTAACTGGTGTAAGATGGTATTTCATTGTGGTTTTGATTTGCATTTCTCTGATGGCCAGCGATGATGAACATTTTTTCATGTGTCTGTTATTTCTTTTCTAACAAAGAGCAGCCTGGAAAATTAAACTGCAGACATAGAAAAAAAGCTCTAGCTTGCACGGGTGAATGCTGGCAGCTATACCAATAGGAAAAGGCTAATTCTGTGCCAGGCATGTTCAACGTGGAGGCTCCATTTTCCCTTTTCTTTGTCAACCATGTGTACAGTAAAGGAACAGGCAACATGGCTCTGGCCAGGTAAAGAACCATCTGCATAATGAAAGATTAGGGTGGGGAGGCCAACTTCTTCACGAGCTATGTAAATGGGTAACCTGGTCCAACCAATCCTTTGGGCTCTATGTAAATCAGACATTGCCTCCTCTAGCTCCTCTACAAACCCTTTGCATTTCATGACAGAACTGGAAGACCCACTCAGGAGCCCCTCTCTCTGCAGGAGACAGCAGCATTCTATTTCTTTTGCCTATTAAGCCTCTGCTCTTAAACTCACTCCTTGTGTGTGTGTGCATCCTCAATTTCCTTGACATGAGGCAAGGAAACTTAGGTATTACTCCAGATGAACAATACCACTCCACACAGATGAACAACACCACTTCACAACTACCAGTGGGTGTGCTCAGCCATGGGTTGGGTGGCTGTTCTACATTCCTGTGCTAAGAATACTGCCTGGTGAAGAGTAGGCGGTGGGGGTTCCCAGGGTAGAGGGACTAAATTTATTTCCATATAGTGGCTGCTGGGTGCGTGAGGTGCCAGCCTAGAACTATTAAATAGGCCCTTTGTTCCTTCCCCAGCCTGAGGGCAGTTAGGGTGGTACAACTGCAGCTGCAGTGGTGGAGGCATTGTGGGTTGTCTCTGTAATTTCCTCCTCAGAGCACTGCAGAGCTGCCTCCCACTAAAGTGTTCAGGTGGAGGCAGTTTAGTTGTGCTCTAGTCCCAGGTCAGGAGGCTCCACCTAGTAAAGAGAATTGGGATTAGAGACCCATGTAGAAAAGGTCTGACCATTTTTTCCATGAGGCAGCTGCATTGTGCTGGGGATCTACACAAGTCCTTAGACACTGGGCACCCTGTGAAGCCTGAAGGCAAAAGCAACAGGAGTGAGGGCTGCAAGACAGCAAAAATGATGGTTTGCCTCTCCCTGTGGGAGCTCCATCCCAGGGAAGTTCAGAGCTACTATCAGCCTGAGAGCCCCAGCGGGGTGTGGCTGGAGTACTGGCTCAGTGGGCCTTATCCTGGGAGGTACAGTAGAGGTGAGTCCTGAAGTCCATCACTGCTCAACCACCCGAATTTAGCCCCTTTCGTGGGGGCATACAAGGGAGACTGACCTCCCCTGTTTCCAGAGCTGCAGCTTCTAATGCCAGGATGGCCAGGGATCCAAGGTTCCTGGGACTCTGCTTATGCTTGAGTGGCAACTCTGCCCAGACTCCACATAGCTCTGCATGGCAGTCTGAAGGCCTCATCAGGGTGGCCTCATGAGGTGATCTTCTCAGCCTCAAGTTGCAAAGGTCCATGGAAGTATGGGTCCCTGGGTATTCTCACTCACTCAACATTTACCTACAGTAGGGAAGCCGCCTCTGGTTCCATGTCACTCACAAGTGGGTGGTCGTCCTGTCTCGCTCCACCACATTTTCTGTGGGCCAATTTGTTTCCTTGATGAATCCCAGTGTGTCCACCTTGATATTTCAGATGAAGATCCACAGTTTACTCACTACTTTTTCTTCTCTCTGTGAGACTGGTGCCCACTAGCTGCTTTTAGTCAGCCTCCTTGACTCTCCCTCTTTCTGTTATCCTATTTTAATCATGTGTTTTAAAACTTAGTTACTATATTATCAAGTGTTTTACATCTTTAATATTTGACAGACTTTCCTAAATTATATTTCCAATTATAAAAGTAAATACTTTAATCTAAACTAACTCATACATAACAAATAGGAACCCCTAGGAGTCCACGTGTTACTGGTGGAGGGTCCTGACTATGAGTATAGGTTCTCAGCATTTTGAACAAATAATTGGACAAAACCTATAACAAAGCAATGAAAGAATGAAGCAATGAGAGCACAGATTTATTGAAACAAAAGTAGACTCCACAGAGCAGGAGTGGGCTTGAGTAGATGGATCAAGATCCCTGGTTACAGAATTTTCTGGGGTTTAAATACCCTCTAGAAGTTTCCCATCAGTTACTTGGTTTACACATTATGTATATGAAGGAGTGGCTCGTGACCAGTCTGACTGGTCATGGAAGGTGACCAATCGGAAGCCGAAATGAGGTTATAAAGTTACACCCCTATGCAAATGAAGACTTGGTCCATGACCAGTCTGATTGGTTGTGGGAGGGGACCAATCAGAGGTACTTTCCATTTCTCAACTGCGATGCAGAAAGCAGGGATGGAGGGGTTGAAAAGGGAGTAGTCTGTGTTGTTTTGTTACTCTGTCATGGAAAATTGGGGTTTTCCTTTTGATTTAGTTCTAGGAAGACAGTGTGAATTGGTTTAAGGTTCCCTGCCTCCAGATCCTATTCTCCTGCATAACTAGAGAGACAATAGGCTTATTCAGTGTGTAAAAATCATGTGGGAAACATTGTCAGGTAAGAATAGTGTTTAACTTCTTTCACATTATATTTGTATAAGAATGTTATTAATATGACTTCCAAAATTGTATGAGAGCCCTAAAATTATGTTATGCTCTGGTATATATCATCAGTCATAATTATGATAATTATGTTAAACTGTTGTATACCACACACACACAAAATTTTCTTGCCAATTGCTTCTTTAACCATGGTTATTCTAAGCATTTTTGTCATCCACAGATAATTATTATTTTACTTTGGATCTTCTCAGAAAGCAATTTATAATCAGCTGCTGTCCCAAATTTGCTACTTCTTAAAAAATATTCATAGAAAAGACCCTGACAATTCCTCTTGAATACAGGTTACTAACAGCTTTGGAGATAATACCATTGGACTAGACAAAAATTTCAAGAATCTTTTTAAAAACTGATATTTTTGTAAACATTACTAAGCCAACATCAAGCAGATCAAGATTTAATTACATGGGACTAAAAGATTGGAGGAATAAAATAATTTTGTATGACTTTTTGTTTGAAACATTGCTGATTCTTTTTGTTTCCCAGACTAAAAGTAACATTTCTCCTAAGTGTTTTATTTTTTTTGCAACTATTGTGAAAAGGGTTGAGTTCTTGATTTGATTCTCTGCTTGGTTGCTGTTGGTGTATAGAAGAGCTACTGATTTGTGTACATTAATCTTGTATCCGGAAACTTAGCTGAATTCTTTTATCAGTTCTAGGAGCTTTCATATTGTCAGCAAACAGTGACAGTTTGACTTCCTCTTTACTGATTTGGATGCTCTCTATCTCTTTCTTTTGTCTGATTTCTCGGGCTAGGACTTCCAGTACTAAGTTGAAGAGGAGTGGTGAGAGTGGGTATCATTGTCTTGTTCCCATTCTCACAGGGAATGCTTTCAATTTTTCCCCATTCAGTATTATGTTGGCTGTGGGTTTGTCATAGATGGCTTTTATTATGTTAAAGTATGTCCCTTGTATGCCAATTTTGCTGAGAGTTTTAATGATGAAAGGATGCTGGATTTTGTCAAATGCTTTTTTTCTGCATCTGTTGAGATAATCATGTGATTTTTGTTTTTAATTCTGTTTATGTGGTGTGTCACATTTATTGACTTGCGTATGTGAAACCATCCCTGGTATAAAACCCACTTGATCATGGC